>NC_000013.11:82534803-82687644 GCF_000001405.40 Homo sapiens | reverse complement strand
ATGAATGATAGACTCCATCTATCCAAGATAACATGTAGATGAACATGCATTTTCATATATTCCTTTTTCCTCAATATCAGGTTTCTTATTGCTTGTCGAACTTTTCACCTCCATTATTTACTTAAGGGCTTCATTAATATTAGTTTATCTCACTTTATTTCTATCCCCATATTAAACACAGAGTTGGAAAAATAAAGCTTTATATTAAGCAGTGACCAAGAAAGAAGCTCTTAATTATATCTACCTCCTTTTTGGCCTCAACAAGGCCATTTTCAAATGCAGCAATATTGTTTATCATGTTTAATACTGTCTTGAGGTTTGTAAATATGATAGAATTTATGCTTCTTCTATCCATTCAAAGGAAAAAATAAGAACCATGCACATTTATGCAGATAGGCAAGGGGAAAATAATATCATAGTAAATTTTTGTGCATATTTTTAGAATCAAAAGTTAAACATCAAAATTTTCAAAAGTCAATGCCCTAAAATTGATAAGCAACTTATTTTACAGAATGCTTTTAATAGAGCTGTGAAACATATTTTGTTATACTGTGGCGTGTTTGTGTGCTTGAAAGGAGAGTTTCAGTGAAAAATGACCAATGTTACTTTTAGTCAACATGATAGGAGTAGTCTTTAATAATGAGACTAGTAAGTAAAACACTTCCAGATATCTTAAATTGAGCCACTATAGACTGCATATTATAAATATAGTCTGTACCTCAGGATTTAGACAATTTTGAAAATGAAGAATTATACAATAAAAATACTGAATCTTGAAATAAAACTAAGCATTTTGTAATGATAAATTTGGCTTGGAGATTACACACCAGAGCAAAAATAATTTTTAAATACAGCATCTGTCCATTTTATAACTGTATTTGCTCTGTATTTTATATTTTGTTACTTTATTGAGTAGTAAGAAATTTATATGATCCCCAAAATAAAATTATATATAAGAAAAGTGTTTTCAGTTATGTACTTCTCCCTCAATCCTTTCGACTCTGCTCCTACCTATCTATGTTGGTAACCAATTTAATTAGTTTCTAGTTTATCCTTCCTGCATTTCTTTTTATAAAAATATGCAGATAAATGAATGGTTTCTTATTTCTTCTTTCTTTAACATAAAATGTCACACATTTTATATGCTCTTTTGTTGTACTATTTTACAAATAAAGTTTCAATGAGTATACTCATGCAGACGTGTTTTCCTGTTGAAGATGATTGGATTTAAGGGTAAAATATTTACAGATTTATTAGATGTTATCAAATTCAAATGCATAAGGTTAAAACATTTTGCATTTCTAAAGCAATATATGAGTGTTTGGTTCCCAAATAAACATACTGTTGCACTTTTATTTTTGATCAACTATGAGAAAGAATTTCTCAGGATATGTTTAATTTTTATTCCTCTTATTATGAATAAAGTTGAAAATATTCCCTATATTAACAAGCAATTTTTCATACTTTGTGAATTATTTTTATGTGTTCTAATTTTTCTGCAAAGTTTCTATTTCTTCCCCTCAACATTTATAGAAGCATGCTGAGTGCTGTTGATATGGGTTACTTATTTGTGATTAATGTTGCAAGTGTTTGTTTGGCATTTGTCCTTTGACTTTTTAATTGCATTTTGCCCATGCTAAAAATTGTAAAAAGTAATTTCAAGTTATCAGTCACTTATTTTATGTCCTTTTATATTGGTATCCTTATTAAAAACCATTCTGTACATTCAAATTAGCATGATGAATTCACCTATATTTTCTTCTTGTACATACAAGTGTCTGCAGGTATGCATGTTTTAATATTTAGATTCATGGTACATTTGGGAAATGTTTGTTTTATTACTAAAATATAAAATGTAATTATGAAAAATAAATATTCATCAATCCCTTTTTTCTTAATGAATTTTAATCAGAAATTGATATTGAGTGTTTAATGTGTTATCATTATACAGATAGCCATAAAATTTTCACCTTTGGTTTATTGATGTGGTAAATTAATTTAATGATTTTCCTAACATTAAAATAAACTTAGTCCCCAGTAATAAATCATTTTCCCACTTTGTCATATTGTATCATTTAATTAGTATATTTCATTCTATTAGTTTATATTTTATTTAGGATCTTTAAATTGATATGCATTTGTGATACTGATTTGTAATTCTCACATTCATGTGCTATCATTAATGGTTTACGTATCAATGTCTGTATTAGTCCATTTTCATACTGCTATGAGGAAATACCAAGAACTGGGTAATTTACAAAGGAAAGATGTTTAATTGACTCATAGTTACCTATTGCTGGGGAGGCCTCAGGAAACTTAGAATCATGATGGAAGGCAAAGGAGAAGCAGGGGCCTTTCACACAGGGCAGCTCGAAGGAGTGAGTGCAAGCAGGCGAAATGTCAGATGCTTAAGAAACCATCAGATCTCGTGATACTTACTTATTTTCATGAGAAAAGTGTAGGGAAAACTGCCCCCAAAATCCAATTACCTCCACTTGATTCCACTATTGACACATGGGGATTATTACAATTCAAGGTGAGATTTGGGTGGAGACACCATTGATAGAGCCAAACCATATCAATGTCATACTGGTAACACAGAAAAGACCCCCTTACTTCTGATGTTGTAGAAAAATTGATGTATTTGGGGGATTACATGTTTATTAAATGTTTGCTGCATATGCTTGTAAAACTTTGGGCTTTAAGTGTGTCTTTTGTTTGGTTTTTATTTTTCAAATTACTTTTATTGTTTTATTTTAATTCTTCCATACAATTTTATTTATGCTTAAGGCCATGAGTTATCCTATGATTATCAGTATATCCTAAAATATAAAATTTAATATATTTATTATTCTTTCAGAAGTTTTGTAATTTGTTTTTTTATAACATAAATATACATAATGTTTATTTGTCAAGTAAAAAATAAAAGTGAAATACTGTATAGCACTTATTTGAATATAGAAATTTTTCTATTTGTTGCCCTGCAATATTTAGGTCATTAATTAATTAATTAATTTATTTATTTTTTGAGATGGAATTTCTCTCTTGTTGCCCAGGCTAGAGTACAATGGCGTGATCTCAGCTCAGTGCAACCTCCATCTCCTGGGTTCAAGCGTTTCTCCTGCCTCAGCCTGCCCAGTAGCTGGGATTACAGGCATGCGTCACCATGCCTGACTAATTTTGTATTTTTAGTAGAGACGGGGTTTCACCATGTTGGTCAGGCTGGTCTCAAACTCCCGACCTCAGGTGATCTGCCCACCTTGGCCTCCCAAACTGCTGGGATTACAGGCGTGAGCCACCATGCCCGGCCACTTAATATTTTTTATAATTTTTTATTTCAATAGTTTTCAGGAAAGAGGTGGTTTTTGGTTACATGGATAAGTTCTTTAGTGGCAATTTCTGAGATTTTCTTGCACCTGTCACCGAGCAGTGTACACTGTATCCAATGCATACTCTTTTATTTCTAGCCTCCCTCCTACCCTTCCCCGCCATGTCCCCAAAGTCCATTATATCGTTTTTATGCCTTTGCATTCCGATACCTTGACTCCCACTTATGAGTAAGAATATATAATGTTGATTTTCCATTTCTGAGTTACTTCACTTAGAATAATGGTCTCCAATTCCATCCAGGTTGCTGCAAATGCCATTCTTTTGTTTCATTTCATGGCTGAGTAGTATCCCATGTCATATACATACTAAATTTTCTTTATCCATTCATTGCTCAATGGACATTTAGGCTGGTTCCATATTTTTGTGACTATAAATTGTGCTGCTATAAACATGCATGTGCAAGTGTCTTTTTCATATAATGACTTCTTTTTCTCTGGGTAGATATCCAGTAGTTGGACAGCTGTTTTGAACAGTGGTTCTACTTTTAGTTCCTTAGGGAATCTCCATACCATTTTTCACAGTGGTTGTACCAGTTTACATTCCCACCAGAAGTGTAAAACTGTTCCCTTTCATCATGCCCATACCAATATCTCTTATTTTTTTTGTTTTTAAATTATGGCCATTCTTGCAGGAGTAAGGTGATATCTCACAGTGGGTTTGATTTGTATTTCCCTGATAATTAGTGATATTGAGAATGTTTTCATATGTTTGTTAGCCATTTGTATATCTTCTTTTGAGAATTGTCTATTCATATCCTTGGCCTACTTTTTGACGAGATTATTTGTTTTATTCTTCCTGATTTGTTTGAGTCTCTTGTAGATTCTCGATATTAGTCATTTGTCAGATGTATATGTTTTAATATTTTCTCCCATTCTGTGGGTTGTCTGTTTACTATGCTGATTATTTATTTTGCTGTACAGAAGACTTTTAGTTTAATTAAGTCCTATCCATTTATTTTTGTTTTTGTTGCATTTGCTTTTGGGTTCTTGGTCATGAACTCTTTGCTTAAGCCAATGAGTTTCTCCAATGCTATCTTCTAGAATTGTTATGGTTTCCAGTCTTTGATACAAGTTTATGCTCCATCTGGAGTTGATTTTTGTATAAGATGAGACAGGAAGATCCATTTATTCTTCTACATGTGGCTTGCCAATTATCCCAGCATCCTGTAATGAATAGGGTGTCCTTTCCACATTTTATGTTTGTGTTTGCTTTGTTGATGATCAGTTGGCTGTAACTATTTGACTTTCTTTCTGGGTTCTCTGTTCTGTTCAGTTGGTCTACATGCCTATGTTTTATACAAGTACCATGCTGTTTTTGTAACTACAGCCTTGTGGTAAAGTTTGAAGTCTGGTAATGTGATGCCTCCAGATGTGATTTCTAGTTCTGTGATTTTTTTTCTAGTTCTGTGAGGAATGGTGATAGCACTTTGATGGAATTACATTGAATTTGTAGAGATTGCTTGTGCTCTTTCAGACTTTTTGATGTAGGTATTTAACGCTATAAACTTTCCTCTTAGCACTGCTTTTGCTGTATCTCAGAGGTGTTGATACATTTTGTCACCATTATCAGCTTAAAGAAGTTTTTACATTTCCATCTTGATTTTATTGTTGACTCAAAGGTCGTTCAAAAGCAGATTATTTAATTTCTATGTATTTGTATAGTTTTGAGGGTTCTGTTTGGAGTTAATTTCCAGCTTTATTGCACTGTGGTCTGGAAAAAACACTTGATAAAATTTTAATTTTCTAAATTTATTGAGACTTGTTTTGTTACCTATCATATGGTCTATCTTGGAGAATGTTCTATGTGCTGAAGAAAAGAATGCATATTCTACAGTTTTTGGGTAGAATGTTCTGTAAATATCTGTTAAATCTATTTCTTCTAGGGTATAGTTTAAGTCCATTGTTTCTTTCTTGACTTTCTGTCTTGATAACCTCTTTGGTGCTGTTGGTGGAGTATTGAAATCCTCCCCCCATTATTGTGTTGCTATCTATCTCATTTCTAAATCTAGTTACTAATTGTTTTATAAATTTAGGAGCTCTAGTTTTGAGTTGGCTGGCCTCCAGCCAGGAAGTGGTACTTTCAACAGAGCACCAGCTATGATAGTAGTAGGGGACTCTAAGATTACCCTAAGGTGGCCAGGGTAATTATTTTGAATTCTATGTCAATGGGCAGGGCCATTAAGCTCCCAAGAGTTTCTATGTTTTGTGTACAGCTACAAAGGCAGGAAGGGAAATACCATCAGGTGGGGGCAGGGTTAAGCAGGTCTAGGCTCAAACTCTTCTTGGGTAGGGCTTACCTTGGCCACTATGGGTAATGGGGGGTTGTTCTCAGGCCAATGGAGTTTATGTTTCTTAGGCGACCTTGGCCACCTCTTCTGTATTATATAGTTCACCCGGGAAGTGAGGGATAACCAGTAGTGAGAAGTCCCACCCAGCTCCCACACAGCTGGCAAGATCAGTCTCATTCCAGCAGTGCCTTGCTCAACCTTGCCTCAGGCTGTGAGAAGCCCCACTGAGAAAGCAAACATGGCTTTTGCACCTAGCCTCTTCACATCTTCCCACTCCATCATTGGCAGCCCCTGTGTTCCTGCACTCGCTCATACCTGCAGCATCTTCTGCTTGTCCCCTGGACTTCGCTCAAGAAAATTTGTGCCCAGTTGAAACTTTTGCCTGGTACTCAGGCAAAAGGTACTCTTCTTGGTTTTATTTGTATTGTCATTATTTATATTTAAACACGCTGTTTTAGTTGAGTCTCATAGAAATAACATTGATTTGGGTTCCTCCCTTTAAGACATCTTAAATTTTTTAAATTGGTGATTTGATTTTTACATTTACTCATTAGAGAATATAATTATTCCAATGTTTAAATTTTATCTAAAAGTATAAATGTTTGTATTTTAAGTATACTTGTTAGATTTACTGTTAAGCCATTTTAATATGTGTAGTCAACTGTTTCTATTAATTTTTTTAGCTTATACATTTTTATTGGTATACTTTGCCTCATATTATTGTTTATATCATAATCAATAAATGTATGTTTTTTCCTGTTTCATCTCTTATTTTCCAATATTTTAGTTTCATTATTTCTATTTTGGCAGTAAATAAAATATGTAAATGGTTATTATTCTATCTTCATTCTGACCTATGATCAAATCTTAGATCTAAAACTAAATATTTATTCCTGGAAACACCCAGACTCCCAAGATTGAATCAGGATGAAATTGAAATACCTGGACCTGATAAATTCACAGCTGAATTCTTCCAGATGTACAAAGAGGACCTGGTACCAATTCTACCGAAACTATTCCAAAAATGTGAGGAGGAGGAACTTCTCTTTAACTTATGCTAAAAAGCCAACATCACCGTGATGCCAAAACAGGGAAAGACACAATGAAAAAGGAAAACCATAGGCCAATATTTCTGATGAACATGGATGCAAAAATCCTCAACAAAATACTAGCAAACTGAATTCAATAGCACATCAAAAAGTTAATTCACCGTGATCAAGTCAGTTTTTTTTCCTGAGATGAAAAGTTGGTTCTACATACAGAAATCAATAAATGTAATTCACCACATAAATAGAATTACAAACAAAAACCATATTCTCATCTCAATAGATGCAGAAAGAGCTATTGATAAAATTCAAAATAACTTCATGATAAAAACCATCAATACCCTAGATATCCAAGGAACATACATCAAACTAATAAAAACAATCTTTAACAAACTCATAGACAACATCACACTGAATGGGCCAAAGGTGGAAGTATTCTACTTAAGACCCAGAACAAGACAACGATGCCCATTCTCACTACTCCTATTCAACATAGTACTAGAAATTCTAACCAGAGCAATTAGGCAAGGGTAAGAAATAAAAGGCATCCAAGCAGAAAAAGAAGCCAAATTATCTCTCTTTGCTGATGATATGATCTATAGCTAAAAAACCCTAAGGACTGCTCCAGAAAGTTCCTGGAACTGATAAACAAAATCAATACACAAAAATGATTAGCATTTTTATACACCAATAATTTTCAAGCCAAGAGCCAAATCAGCAATGCAATTCCATTTACAATAGCCACAGAAATTAAAATACTCAGAAATACATCTAAGTGTAAAAAGGAGATTAAACATCTCTGCAGAGCACTGCTGAAAGAAATAGACAACACAAACAAACAGAAAAACATTCTATGCTTATGGCTCTTTTAATTTCATGTCTGTTTATTTTAACAATTTGAAATGGATTCATAGTTAAAGAGTGTTTTCTCTCTCAGTGCAAAAAATAATCTTTTAGTGGATGATTTTAGTTTTCTGAGGATGTTGAAGAAGAAAATCTGCAGATTTTTTTTCTTGTTCTCTTTGATTTTCACAACATACATTTACTTCTATTGCTTTTATCTTGTCATAACATCAGTATAAATAGATGGCTAATGGTGGGAAGCAAGTTTCTCATTGTTTGAGTTAGAAGTTACATATAGGCTATATGGTAATGTCCATGAGGTGATACATTAAAGTTGGATACCTCTGTTTAAACTCAGGTAGCTTAATGTGGATACAGATGTTTATATGTAGAAATATTTGCAAAAATGCATATACACATAGCATATACACAAATATATTTTCTTGAATGGTCTTCTGAAAGAAGTAGTAATACCCTAGTAGCAATAAACTCAAATATTGGTCTCTGATATAATTCTTTAATAAAAGAATCCAGGAGAGATAGCCTCATTCAAAAACGGCTGTCAAAAGACTCCTTGGAGAAATACCTGATTCTAGGGCTGGAGCAGAAAATGTAGAAGTTGAGCTTAGAGTAAAAACAGAAGTGCTGAAAACCAAACAAACCAAACCAAACAACCACACAATGAAAAGTATCAAGGGGACCAGAGCCTACCAAAATAGCTCCCAAAGAACAGAACTAGAAAAAAATTAAGCAACAAAATTAAGTAATGTTGAATTTTAACCCAAATTGTAACATAAATACCCATGAAGCCATATTTACATAAATACATAATCAAAACCAAGCTCTCAATAAATAAATAAATTTAAAGAAGAGACAAATTTCTAATAATTTATGTAGAGAGTTTGCCCACAAGGAGGAGCATAAGTTTTCACTCCTTAAATGTAGATTGCATATAATGACTTCCTTCCAAAGAGTACAGTAAAGGGAAGAGGGACATTACATTAAAAAAGAAGACACTTTAACAACTAACGGGTCAAAGTCAACCTCAACAGTCACACCACACTGATATCATGCAGCTTTCATAGAATTAGATAAAAATAACATTTAACCTCTGTGATTCCTACAACTCAGAACTCTAGTTTAATCATGTTAGAAACATAAAAGAAATATTAATTGAGGGACATTTTACCAATACCTGGTTAGTACATCTAAAAACTGCCAAAATTATCAAAAATGAGAAAAGAAGCTATAATAGTCAAGGGAAGTCTAAGGGACCATATGTCTAAGGGTAATGTGGAAATCTAAATGGAACCCTGGTTCCAGAAAAAAGATACAATGAAAAGCTGAGTAACTGAATAACTTGTGAACTTAGTTAATAATAACACATCAACTTTGATTAATTAATTATAATGAATGTTTGATACTACTGTAGGATATTGATAGAGAAAATGATTTGTGGTATAGGAAACTTTACAATATCTTTTTTTCTATATATGAAAACTTTTCTAAAGAGTAATGTTTATTAAATTGAAATGTAAACATATTACTATTTTCTATTCCACTAGTATATGACTATAATCCATTCCCTAGTGAATTATGAGATATTTATGTAGTCCTGACACAGATACTAATATGGTTTGGCTCTGTGTCTCCACCCAAATCTCACCTCAAATTGTAATAATCCCCACATGTCATGTAAGGGACAAGATGGAAGGTAATTAAATCATGGGGGTGGGTTTTTCCTGCGCTGTCCTCATGATAGTGAACAAGTCTCACAAGATCTGATGGTTTTATAAAGGGGAGTTCCCCTGTACATGCTCTTTCTTCCGTGTTACCATGTAAGATGTGACTTTGTTCCTCATTCGCCTTCTACCACAATTGTGAGACCTCCTCAGCCATGTGGAACTGTGAGTCAATTAATCCCCATTTCTTTATAAACTCCCCAGTCTCCAGTGTGTCTTTACTAGCAGTGTCCAAACAGACTAACAGTAAATTTGTTCCAGTAGAATGGGGTGCTGCTGTAAAGATACCCAAAAATGTGGAAGCGATGTTGCAACTGGGTAACAGGCAGAGGTTGGAACAGTTTGGAGGGCTCAGAAGAAGACAGGATTATGTGAGAAAGACTGGAACTTCCTAGAGACTTGCTAAATGGCTTTGACCAAATGCTGCTCATCTCAGATGGGGATGAGAAACACGCTGGGCACTGGAATAAAGGTGACCCTTGCTATGTTTTAGCAAAGAGACTAGCTGCATTTTGCCCCTGCCATAGAGATCTGTGAAACTTTGACATTGAAAGAAATGATTTAGGGTATCTTACAGAGGTGATTCGGGTGCTGTTAAAAGCATTCAGCCTTATGTATTCACAAAGATATGGTTTGGAATTGGAACTTATGTTAAAAAGAGAAGCAGAGCATAAAAGATTCAAAAAATTGCAGCCTGATGGTGCAGTAGAAAAGAAAAACCCATTTTCTGAGAAGAAATTCAAGCCAGCTGCAGAAATTTACACAAGTAATGAGAAGCCAAATGTTGATCACCAGGACAATGGGGAAAATGTCTCTAGGGAATGGCAGAGACCTTTGCAGCAGCCCCTCCCATCGCAGGCCTAGAGGCCTAGGAGGAAAAATGGTTTCCTGGGCTAGGCCCAGGGACCCCTTGCTGTGTGCAGCCTAGGGACTTGGTGCTCTGTGTCCCAGCTGCTCCAGCCATGGCTAAAAGGTGCCAAGGTATAGCTCAGGCCATGACTTCAGAGGATGCAAGCTCCAAGCCTTGGCAACTTCCATGTGGTGTTGAGCATATGGGTGCACAGAAGTCAAGAACTGAGATTTGGGAAACCTTTGTCTAGATTTCAGAGGATGTATGGAAATGACATCATGGAGAACCTCTGATAGGACAGTGTGGAAAAGAAATGTGGTGTGGGAGCCCCCACACAGAATCCTCACTGTGGCACTGCCTAGTGGAGCTGTGAGAAGAGGGCCACTGTCCTCCAGACCCCAGAATGGTAGATCCACCAACAGCTTGCACCGTGTGCCTGGAAAAGCAATAGACACTCAACACCAACCCATGAAAGCAGCCAGAAGGGGAGCTGTACCCTGCAAAGCTACAGGAGTGGAGTTGCCCGAGGCCATGGGAGCCCACGTTTTGCATCAGCATGATCTGGAAGTGAGACATGGAGTCAAAGGAGATCCTTTCTGAGCTTTAAGATTTGGCTGCCCTGCTGGATGTTGAAATTTCACAGGGTCTGTTGCCTCTTCATTTTGGCCAATATCTCCCATATAGAAAGGGTGCACTTACTCAATATCTGTACCCTCATTGTATGTAGGAAGTAACCAACTTGCTTTTGACTTTACAGTCTCATAGGCAGAAGGGACTTGCCTTGTCTCAGATGAGACTTTAGACTTGGACTTTTGAGTTAATGCTGAAATGAGTTAAGACTTTGGGGGATTATTGGGAAGGTATGATTGGTTTTGGAATGTGAGGACATGAGATTAGGGAGGGGCTAAGGGTAGAATGGTATGGTTTGGCTCTGCGTCCTTACCCAAATCTCCCCTTGAATTGTAATAATCCCCACATGTGGTGGGAGACACCCATTGGGAAATACTTGAATCATGGGGGCAGGTACTTCCAGTGCTGTTCTTGTGATAGTGAATAAGTCTCACAAGATCTGATGGTTTTATAAAGGGTAGTTCCCCTACACAAGCTCCCTTTCCTGCTTCCATGTGAGACATGGCTTTGCTCCTTATTCACATTCTGCCATGATTGTGAGGCCTCCCAAGCCCTGTGAATCTGTGAGTCAATTAAACCTCTTTTCTTTATAAATTACCCAATCTTAGGTATGTCTTTATTAGCATCATGCGGACAGACTAATAGAGATACCCATTGTTGTAATTCTCAATTTTTTCAAACATTTCCTCACTTGATGTGAGAATTACAATTTTTGGGAAACAAACAAATTTCAAATCTAAATAACTTCTCACCTTTTACTACTTTCAAAAATAAAAGCTTCTGACATCAGGAATTTCTTAGGTTATATGGGAAAACAAATAGTACGTAAAATCTATCATTTTAGTTGCAATGTTATGTATGAGAACTTATAAAATGGACACATTCCCTATAGAATGTGTTTGCTACAACATTAAGCTTTGATAAATACTGCACACTGTTAGTCATGTTTCGATTAGTGAAATATACAAAACATGGATGATACTAAATACTGTAAGAATTAGCTAGGAAAGATATTACACAAATAAATCATATTTAAATGTTTTATTAGTGTAAGACAAATAGCTTTATAAAAACTATTTTAATAATGTACCATATGTTGATTTGATTACCAAGAATAAATAGTGCTTTGTAAAAAGGAAATTATATGAGTCACTACCATCCCTTGAGAAATCAAACATCAAAATATTTTTGAGTCTTGTGTATAACTTCAATTCCCTGTACTTTTTAAAGAAGAGCTTTATGATTTTGCATTTATTCAAATTTAATCTCTAAAGTCTTTCAGATGAGTAACAAATCAGTTTTGTGTTTCTGAGCAAAATTAGTAGTCACCCTTTACTTTTTTAATAAAAATGCATTTCATAGGCAGAAGAGAAAGTTTATTGATCAAATTTTTAGACATGTAAGAAAGCAGTAGATTAATTTTAATTTGCAGTAAATTAATTTTAATTTTAATTTGCAGTAGATTAACTTAATAAATGTATTCAACTTATTAAATTTAATTTGAATAAATGATTTTTCAAATATTTGAGCAATATTTAAAGCTAAAGTGTCAGCTATGTGCTTTTGAGATACAAATTTTCTACCTTGTAACACCTGAGTCATCCCTTTAGAAATGTAAATTTGGGGTTGTTTAGCTAACAATTGCTAAAGCCAAGGAAACAGGTCATTTGAGGGTTGATAGGCTGAATGGGGAAAAGAAAAACTATTTGAAAACTGGCAAATGAGAATTCTTTATAAAAGCTAAGATCTACCTCTGTTTGTCTATATTTCTATAGGTGTTACCTGTATATAATAATATTTGATAAAAATAGTTTTAAAATTGTTGGTAAACTAAAATAGAAATGGCTTCAGAATTATCAGTTTAATATAATTCAGACATTTTTGCATGTGTCTACTGGTCAGACAGGTTATGTTGTCTCTGCTATGTGTTTTACAGTCAGACAGGTTTATGTTGCCTCTACTTTGTGTTTTAAGGTCATAAAACTGTTGCTTCTATAACCTTTTTGATACTTGCCTGATGTAATTGTTAGTCTATATTTTCAGTATTGAGCTTCTTGATTCTAGGGTCAGGACAGGTGGCCAAGGTGAGGCCTGGGAACATGTCCTCAGTGAATTCACTACCAGCTGCAAAGAAAAGTCAAACCCACTATGACTCCTTCCTCTATGGCCTAGCTTTGCCTCCTGGGCAAGCTGAGAGGGCTTGAACCCTCCACACGTAGTTACAGCTTTATCTTCTGTCCTAAGTGCTATAACTGGTGAGTAAGTTCAACACCCAGATGATCCTTGCCCTTCATAAATATCCTGGGTGTCATATGGCTACTTGAGACCTATAATGACTGGGGAAGACATAAGGGAGGATACCTGTGTCATAGTTTCAAAATGCTTTTCACTTTTCAGTAATTAAAATCTTAAAGTCATGTTATATTAAATTAAATAATAGTTATTATAAAATTTCTAAGTCATTTGTAAGTAATTAGTGAAACATTAATTATTAAATATCTGTTTCAGCTGACATACTTTGTCATCTAATTTTTCTATAATCTAGAAAAGCTAAATATATCTAGATCTATTAATAAGCAAAACATTAAAGAAGCATATCTTTCTAAAATATCATGAAATGGATTTCATCTACAAATACTGATATAAAACTGTACATAATTACTTACTTCCTATGTTTTCACTAAAAATTAGGCTTCCTAAGAGTTAAAATTGTAGTTAATATGTATGATTAAAACTACTAGATATAAAATATTCCATATATAAAGTGTATATTAAAAAGCAAGTTACACTTTTTAATGAAAGTTGTAAAGGCATGAAAATGTGTGTTTTTGAAAAAAATAATTTTGTCTAGTTTCAAATTTACTTTAATATTGCTTTGAATTAAAGAAATGAAAAGATATAGATAAAATTAAATAAAGAGTTGGAAAGAGAAAGTTGGAAAGAGAAATAAAATAGAATAAAATTTTGTAAGAGATAATAAAAGGTTTTTGGAACTCTTGTGTGGTCAAAATAATGACTGAGATTGGCTTATTAGAGTTTATTACATTAGTTTTAGAATGGTTTTCTCTTTTAAACAAGAATTTTCATGTGGCACAATTGTGATAGTAGAAGATTTTTATTCACATTTTGAGTAAACCGTAAAAAAAAAAAAAAAAAAAAGAGAGAGAGAACAAAAGAGAGACAAGGGAGAGAAGAAAACAGTCTGTCTCAGGCTATTTTCCTCAGCTCTTTCGATTGGAAAATTGAGTCTCCTATCAAAGAATAAAAGTTTTTGCTTTTTTAATTTTTTTTACCACTTTGGCTAAATGAATGACTATTATTTTTTAATGACTTGTGATTCTATTTTGATTATTTTAAGCCTTTGTAAGAAAAAAATGTTTAACCTTTTTGAGTTAGGTTTCAATTACTATGTTATTAATGTATGTCCTAATGTTGTATGAGATTCATAAAATTTTGATGTATCTTGGTATTTTTATTAGTCATAATTATTGTAATTATATTAAATTATTGTGGGCCACAGAAATAACCAAATTTTCTTGTCAACTGTGTTTTTAACTATGAGCATTTTAAGTTGTTTCTACGGTTAGTTGCTTAACTCTGATGTAGTTTCTGTAAGCTCTTCACAGGCAAGTAGAATCCTACGGTATTATTTCTCCAAAAAGATTCATGGAAAAGATGGAAAAGGTGCTGACAAGCACTCTTGAGTACAGATTTTCAGTAACTATGAGATCACATCATTTGGTTTGAGTAAGAATTTCCAAAACTCCAGGAGACTGATTGGTTCATAAATCTGCTAACCCGAGTGGTATAAAATTTAGTTACACACCAAGGACACAGCCTGCAAGATTTCATGCTAAATCAGCCAGCACTAAAATTATTAAAATATGTAATTTGGATGAACTCCATGGCACAAGTCGAATTACCAGTGATAACCCATTTGTTAAGCAGTTTTAGGAACTCGAATTAAGGTAACAAAATTGGTATTTAGGAGCATATAAATCCAATGTTAAGCATGGACTCATGGAGAGTCAATTGCTTTTTGCTGAATTAACTCCGTAAAATTTAATTTGTTTAAAGTTTTTATTTTAACACAACTAAAAATCGATCATTCGCAAACCACATAAACTTATGTGAATTTTAATTAGAGCACTACCAAGACCATAAATAATCTTATTTTAAATAGCCCTGTTAGATCTCCATTGGCAATAATGTCTGGGACCACTATCATTAAATATTCTGCATCTTTAACTTGAAAACTGAAGCTTCTTTCTTAGAATCGTAGGTTGTTTGGCAGCATGTTCTTCCACTAGAGACCAGTTCCATCAAAATTTAAATTTGATACGTGGCATAGCATTCATTACTAATCAATATTGTAACAAGAAATGGCTTTACATCTACACTTTCTGCACTGTCAGCATCACAATTTACTTAAAGTTTTGGCAAAA
This sequence comes from Homo sapiens, assembly GCF_000001405.40. Taxonomy (NCBI): domain Eukaryota; kingdom Metazoa; phylum Chordata; class Mammalia; order Primates; family Hominidae; genus Homo; species Homo sapiens. Next base: position 82,672,411 of record NC_000013.11, on the reverse strand, counting down.
ATATAGTAGTTCTTGAAGCCATTACTTATATGAAGACTATATAAAGAATTCAGCTTCTGCAGAAATTTCAACATTTTTTTCTAAAGATTTTTATATATTGCTTAAGCTTTCTTAGGAAAGTGCCCCTTAATGATTCATACTTTTGTGTATTATGAAAATTACCCATGAAGTAACGCTACATCTATGTAATACTAGCAACACTGTGGAATCGGATATCGCACAACATAAACTACATAAACAACATGAATTGTAGTATAACAGATTATATTTAATATTTTTGTCTGTTTTCTAAATTTAGAATATAATACAGCTGAACTATCATTACAAAAACTTAGTAATTTTACATCTACTGACAAATTTTTTCTAAGGTTTTTCTCACACCGTTGATTTAATTCAGGACTTCATGATCTCCTCCACTACATTTTTATTATATTTTGACTAATTCTTTCAAATATTTTTATATTTGTTGAAAATAAATTATAATATTTTTATAATTTGGTCTTATACTGCTTACTCAAATTCTCACATGTTACACATTTTGCATTGAGCACTCGTTTAATTTCTTAACTGTTCCCCACACATTATCCTTATTACATCTTCAAGACATGCTCCAAGGATAAAGTAAATTTAAGCTGTCAGGATAATTTACCTGTTGAATTAGGTTTAGGATAGAGCAATAAGGGCATAAAGAAACATAAATTAATTTTCTCAAATAAATAGGTACAGAGACATAAAGAATAGGCTAATTTGTCAGCACTATGGAAAGAACATTGAACCAGGTTTGTTCTATCAGCCTCAAACCATGTAATTTTATAATCAAAATTACCTTATAGTACAAAATGGCTACAGGAGCATTAGCCATCACCTGTGCTTACCAGACAGCAGGAAAGAAGACAGAGAAAAGTCTAAAGCTTACTTGTTATTTAAAAAAATAAAAATAAAAAAAATCCTATAATTTTCATACAACACAACAACACTTCTTTAACAAATACATAGTTATTTGGCTACAGACATAAAAGAAGTTGGAATATAATGTGGTAAATTATGTTTCAAATACCACATTGAATTATACTTAGTAATAATGTAATTTTGGACTCTATAGGCATAAATATGAATTCTATAAATCTTTATTTTTATTTCATATATTTTTCTTAAGTCTTTGCATCAATTGTGCATTTACTTTTAAAATAATTTAAAAAATTACTGTTTCCTTTATGTTATGAAAACTTTAAAGTTGCACAATAATTATATATCCTTAAGATGTAAAAATATTTTTTCATGAAGTGAGCTATTTTCCAAAGGTTTGTTTTATGAAAAGTTACCAAATTTCTTTTCTCAGTTTATTTATATTTTCAACCTCTGTTTAACTCACTTTGAATTTTTTTCATTTTCCAAGAAAATTCAGCATGGCAATCAAATGCTCATATTTATTACCATGGAGCAAGCAATATCCTACAATTAACTATAGCAAGTAATCTCTAATAATTTTAATGGTATATTTATGTATATTTAATAGTATATTTATTTATTTTATTGTCTAGATTCGACTGTAGTGGTTTTGTATTCTTTTTCATAATTTGAGTAAGAAGGGCTGTTACAAGCTTCTGAGTCTTTCAAGAACCAAATCTGGATTTGCATTAAATTAACTGCTTTTCCCTTTTATTAAAAAAAAAACACTACTTTTATATTTATCTTTAGTGATTATTAGTCTGTTATTTTTCAAAAATTTTAGTTGAATGCTTTATTACCCATTTTAAATATCACCAATATATTTAGCCAAGTGTTTAAAACGATGCTCTTCCATTCTTCACAAATCCAGCACATCACTAATCTTCCAAAACTATTACTGTTTAAAATTTTTGAAGCTTGAATATTGTACAGTCAACTTTCCAAATTGACAGGTTCTGCATTTGCAGATTTAGCCAACTTTAGATAAAAAACATAAGAAAAAAAGATAAAAATAACAATATAACAATAAAAACCAATACTAATTTCAAAAGTGTAGTATAACAACTGTTTACATACTATTTACATTGCATTAGGTATCATAAGCAATCTAGAGATGATTTCAATTTGTAAGAAAGTTTGTGTATGTTATATGCAAATATGATAACATTTTATGCAAGGGACTGAAGGATTTTCAGATTTTAGTATATGTAGGGGTCCTGCAACCAATCTCCTGCAAATACCAAGAGACAAATGTGTGATAAATTATCTTGTCTTCAAGGAAACCATGCATAGTTAACATAAATGCAGGTTTACTTTCTTCGTACTACTTACATGGAGCTGTCTGTAGCTACCATAAAATATATACACTTTAATTTACACCTTTACTCCTTTTTAAACACAGGAAAACATTTCTCACAAAATTTTTATGTAAAAAAATATGCACTTGAAAGGTAAACATAGCAAATAAAATTCTATTCAATTAAGTTGGTGCCTATATGTGTTAAGAAACTAAATTTGCATTCCAGTAATTATTATTATTAATATTACTTTAAAAAATTTTTTTTATTATACTTTAAGTTTTAGGGTACATGTGCACATTGTGCAGGTTAGTTACATACGTATACATGTGCCATGCTGGCGTGCTGCACCCACTAACTCGTCATCTAGCAGTAGGTATATCTCCCAATGCTATCCCTCCCCCCTCTCCCCACCCCACAACAGTCCCCAGAGTGTGATGTTCCCCTTCCTGTGTCCATGTGATCTCATTGTTCAATTCCCACCTATGAGTGAGAATATGCGGTGTTTGGTTTTTTGTTCTTGCGATAGTTTACTGAGAATGATGGTTTCCAATTTCATCCATGTCCCTACAAAGGACATGAACTCATCATTTTTTATTCACAATAGCAAAGACTTGGAACCAACCCAAATGTCCAACAATGATAGACTGGATTAAGAAAATGTGGCACATATACACCATGGAATACTATTAATATTACTTTTGAGACAAAGTCTCACGCTGTTGCCCAAGCTGGAGTGCAGTGGCGCCATCTCGGCTCACTGAAACTTCCGCTTCCCAGGAGATTCAAGTGATTCTCCTGCCTCGGCCTCCCGAGTAGCTGGGACTACAGGTGCACACCACTATGCCCAGCTAATTTTTGTATTTTTGGTGGAAATGGGGCTTCACTACGTTGGCCAGGATGTTCTTGAACGCCCGACTTTGTGATCCATCCACCTCGGCCTCCCAAAGTGCTGGGATTACAGGCATGAGCCACGGCGTCCAGCACCGGTAATTATTTTTAAACTAAGAAATCTAACTATTTTCTCCTCCTTGCAACATAACCATACATATGATCACTCTTTTTTGATATAGCTACCTACATTCAGTATAATTCTTGACATTAATCTACTTTCTAACCAAACAGTGCTTGCTTAGTCATTTGGTCATTTTTATTAAATTTTAAAGCATAGGTAACTTTGCAATATATTTTATCAAAGTCTCTTTGATCTTTCCTAATTGAAAAGGTTATACAGAGCCCATTTACAACAATGGAAGGATTCATAAAAACAAGAGGTAACATATAACACACCTGAGCATGAGTGGTCAAAGAGAATTTATTGAAAAAAATATCCTTATGCCCTTCAGATTTCACCCTTATTAATTCTTCAGCATTTATAAGCTTTATTCAGCAGATTCATTAATATTTTGTTTTAGTTGAACAAGTGAGAATTTGAAATGAGCCATGTTGGAAGTAGCTGGCCAAAAGCCTACTCTCTTCAGTTTAGCCACATTGCCGTTCTCTGTATATCAATGGCCGCATTTCTCATTTTCCCCTGTGTCAGGCAGCGCTGATGCAAGCACAAAGCTTCTTTTGAATTAATAGATGAGCACTGGGGTCAATTTATCAGACCTACAAGGAGAGAAGAAATGAGCTCAACAAGCGGAGGAATGATCTGGAATACAAAGACAAGAGCAAAATGAGATTATACTAGACACATCGCTTTATATTCTATTTTGATTCTAATAATCTAATAGCTTTTACAGCTTTAAATTCTGATTATTCCTTTTTATTTTTTAGCAACTTAAATTAATTGAGCATTTGCAAAAGAATAACATATTTATTTATAAATAATTTATTTGGTGATCTGTAGATAATAGAAAAATAAACCATTTCCTCTTAGATAAACAATGATATACAAGAAATGTATCCTGAAGAGCATTTCTTGTTATATTGTTTTAAAGCAGCATTGTTCAATAGATACATAATGTGACACAGATGTAATTAAAAATTTTTCAAGAAGCCACATTAAGAATAATTAAAAAGAAGCAGTTAAGGTTAGTTTTACTAATTTATTTTACCTAATATTTTCAAAATATTATTTCAAATGTAATCATTACATGAGTATTAATGCAATATCTTATATTTTTGCTTTTACATACCAAACCTTCAATATCAATTATGCTTTTTATATCTGATAGCGTATTTTAAGTGCTCAATAATTATATATAGGAAGGGCTTATATATTAGGTAGTGCCAGGTCAAGAGAAATAGACCATTAAAATGATAATTGAGAATAATCTTTCGGATGTTCTGCTGAATGTAATCACTTATGAGCTCAAATATTTACTATATACTGGCCGGGCGCAGTGACTGTCACCTGTAAACCCAGCACTTTGGGAGGTCAAGGCCGGCAGATCACGAGGTCAGGAGTTCGAGGCCAGCCTGACCAACATGGTGAAACCCCGTCTCTACTAAAAAAAAAATACAAAACCGGGCACGGTGGCTCACGCCTGTAATCCCAGCACTTTGAGAGGCCGAGGCGGGCGGATCACGAGGTCAGGAGATCGAGACCATCCTGGCCAACATGGTGAAACCCCGTCTCTACTAAAAATACAAAAAATTAGCCGGGCTAGTGGCGGGCGCCTGTAGTCCCAGCTACTCAGGAGGCTGAGGCAGGAGAATGGCGTGAACCCGGGAGGCGGAGCTTGCAGTGAGCCGAGATCGCGCCACAGCACTCCAGCCTGGGTGACAGAGCAAGACTCCGTCTCAAAAAAAAAAAAAAAAAAAAAAAATACAAAAATTAGCTGGGTGCGGTGGCGGCGCAGGCCTGTAATCCCAGCTACTCAGGAGGCTGAGGCAGGAGAATCACTTGAATCTGGGAAGCGGAGTTTACAGTGAGCCGAGATTGTGCCACTGCACTCCAGCCTGGGTGACAGAGAAGACTCCGTCTCAAAAAAAAAAAAAAAAAAAAAAAAAATTCTATATGTTTAGTGATTGCTGTGTCGTATAATCTGTATAACCAAATATATATTGAGCCTGTGCCACTCAGATTATGTGATAGTATCTTTATTTACCTTTATTTCCACAGATTATCTTTTACCAAAATAAAAAACCAAACCAAAAATGAAACCCCATATCATTGTATTGACCATTGGAGGTATTTACGTCTTCCTTTTTTGTATCTGTGTAGCTCAGTTCTTATAAGAATACTTGTTTGGGAAATAAATTTATTCAAAGATTTTTGATTCGAGAGCTAGCTAACTTTATTACAAACTACCAGAATTTATATAAATTGCTATCAATCTCTGAGCCTCTGAAAGTTTAATTGTGATCATGATAATGTCATAATTATTATACCATCTTCATAGGTAATCTGTGTATCACAGGCAGAATCCTAACCCTCCCCACCAGCAAGATGACATATTCTGATCCCTGGAACATGTGACTATGAGAGACATCTCTGCCATTATTACATATTATGTGGCACAGCTGACTTTAAAATACTAGATTATCCCAGAGGCCTGGCCTAACCATTTGAGATTTTAAAAGCAGAGAATTTTTTTCCAGCTGATGGCTGAAGAAGTCAGAGCGATTCAAAGCAGGAAAAGGATTCAATGTGCCCTTGTTGCTTTGAAGTTGGAAGAGGTCACTTGAGAGGGAATGACATATAGCCTTGGGGTACAGTAGCAGACATCAAGCTGACAGCCATCAATGACACTCCTGTAAGAAACTGGATTTTGTAAACAACCTGAATAACCTTGGAAGTAGATTCTTCTCCAAAGCCTCCAGATAGAGTGATACCCAGTGAATGATACCTTGATTTTGCTTTACGTTGGTCTTATGAGACCTGGAGCAGGAAACCTAATAAGGCATACCAGATTTATCACTTATAGAACTATGAGAAAAAAAGATATTGTTTTAAGCCACGAAATTTGTGGCAAATTATTACAGCAGCAATAGAAACCAATATATTATGTGAAAATATCTTTCAGTTTTCTAAATTTTAGGCATTACAATTAGAACATATAATACATTGGATTCTCTCTTTTATTTAAATTCTTTGTACATAGATTAGGCTGGTCTGTTCTATGACCAAATGTAGTATTTCTAAATACAGTACTTCCAGCAGTTTTCCAATTTGTATGTTATCCTTATTAACATGAACTACTTGAGAGTAATGACAAGCAAGTGCTAATTAATTACCATTGTGGAATAGCTCAAATAGTCTAATCTAATTAACGGGATATAGTAGAACACAATTAGCAACATATTTACTTTATTTTCTATCCCACATACCATAGCATGGGACAGGGTAATTTTCTTAATAAATAATGACAAATAATTCTGATAAAGACACTGATAATTAGATTACAGTGGCAATATTCAAAATTTAAAGAGAGAAGACAAATATACTTTGAAATTAGTGTACTTCTATAAAAGGCTGTTTTATGGTACTTTTCAAAAATCAATTGAATATTTTATTAATTACAGGTATGTCAAATGTAATGATCGTTATTCTGATATTCAAGATCAGTTGGTGAATATTATGAATATTAATGACTTAAAATGAAATTTAGTCTCAATGACTATGATTTTTTTTAAAAAAGGCTTGATTTGGCATAATACCATGCATTTTAATATACAGGTACAGAATACATGTCCCAGGTAGTGTGCTGCAATGGTTACTTTTCATGTGAACACACACACCTTTTCTTAGGTTATAGTGTCAGTTTGGGTCCCCTGAAGCCAGGCTAACATTAGATGATCAAAAGAATCTTGAGGAAACACCTGTGAAGGTGAAGAGGGCAAGAGAAGACAAAAAGAACCTTCAGAACACGATTCAGCCCTGATAGCTGTTGAAATAAGAGAAAGAAGAAAGAAATGGTAGTCAGTGCCCTAGGTTACAATACAGGTCTCTGAATATTTTGGACCGTCCAGTCAGTGGAGAGTTTCAAGCAGAAGTCCATTCGAGGAATCCTATCGTGTATATTGCTGAACTCTGTAATCCGCTCCCTTGGCGAATTTTTAAAATTCTTGTGTTATTATTACCACACTCTCTTAATTACTACAGATTCATTATAGATTTTTTCCAGGTTTATTGAGGAATAATTGTCAAGTAAAAATTGTATATATTCAAGGTGTACAACATCATTCAATAAGCATTTATATTGTGCAATTATTACCACAATAAAATTAATTAACACAGTCTTCACCACACCGTACTGTGTGTGTTTGTGTGTATGTATGCGTGTGTGTGTGTGTTCGTGGTGAGGTCACTTCAGATCTGTTCTCTTAGCAAATATCCAGTAAACAATACAATATTATTAATTATAGTCACTGTGCTGTACGTTAGAAAATCAGAAGATATTGGTCATCCAACACAAACAAATATCTGTATACCTGTTGTTGTCAATTCTCTACCTCTTTTTCCTTTCATTTAAATTTGTCCTACCAATCCTGGCTATTTACATTGCTATGTGAATTTTAGAATTAATTTACCAGTTTCTGCAAATACCCAGCTGATATATGGCTAGTATTTCTTTCAAGAAATAGAATAATTTGGGGAAAAAATGACATATTTATGTTGCTGGTTTTTCAATATATAAACATGAAATAATTACCTTCCATTTAGTTAGATATAATTAATTTTCTCCTGAGTAATATATCATAGTTTCTTGTATAAAACACTTGCATACCTTCCACTACACATATCCACAGAAATTTGGGCTTGTTTTTTTATACCTTGCTTGAGAGTGCTCAGTGAGACCATTCTCTAACAAACATTTCCCAATAAGTATTATGAAATACAGATTAGAAACTCCGTCCTCACAAGAGTGGGAGTATGAGATCTATATTCACTTGCTTTTTCTTCTTTCTGTTCATGAAAATAGTCAGCTAATAACATAGGCTATGGTCCACTGTGTATGTGGTGACAGCACACTCAGAATAAAAAATAAAGATATTATTGAAGAATCCCAATGCTATGATTATATATTTTTCTCCAAAGTCAAATATATATTCCTCATATCAGAAATGTGTGTAGATCAGCCAAGTTAATAATTGTTTTCTCATGTGCAAAAAGAGGTTTATGAAATAGGTTGAGACAAGCACAAAACTAAAGATATATTATAAACTAGGTGAAATCTTTATCCCCTAATCTATCTTCCTATTGAATTGTGCTCAGCTAATTCTTCCAATCAAACTCACCCATAAGGATAATTTCTTGAAAATGACATGGTACTATTATTTAAATAATCCTCTGTCTGTGTTCTAGAATGTTGTAGATTGCAGAACTTAAAACTCAATTCTATTATCAAATTTATGTTAGTATAATTAATCCTCAGCTGTGAAATTTCTTTTTTTTAGCCACAAATAAATTAAAATTCTGAATAAATATGTTTCTTCAAGAGCTGATCTGAAAAAAGAATAGTTGGGGTGACTACATAAGAATCACCTAAGGTACTTCTAAAAATATGTATTTTATCTATATTCTCTTTACCCAATCTGATTTAGTAGATAGGGACAGACACAATATTATATAAAAATGCCCAGGTGACTTTTCTATGTGGCTTGATTGGGGAACAGCTCTGCATTGTTCTGGTTATATAACATCATTAGTGTTATTGCTGTAGAGCATGGAAATATGCAGTACAGGAAATTAAAACCATAATATTTATTTATTGTCAATGGACATTATTATTTTGCCTAGTTATAATCAGAGTTCCTACTTTAGGAAATATAGCCTAAATGTTTGCCAATTAAACAGTTATAGCTCTTTTAGCACTTCTCCATATATACTGATCTGAATAACCCAAGTCTTTTATGTATCCCTTTTTCAAAAGGCCAAGAAATCAATAAGATTAAACAAGGCTTGTCAACATCCCTTTTAACTGTGCTTGAGCAAAACTGTTATTTCCACAGTGCCACTGCCAGACTTGATTTCAGAGACTAATAAATGAAGATATTAAAAAGTTAAGAGAAATTATTCAAAATTTCATTTTCAATGGATACATACAGTCCGGTCAAACAGGTTATTCTGAGTCTACAACTGAAAGGTATACTTTGTTTTGGAGAATTATCCTTCCCTCAAATTTAACCGTGGCATTTCTCCCTTTAACAATGAGAAGAATACAGATGACATGATCCAACTTTTATTGAGAATCCAAATTCATACACTCTTCTTTCTCATTGATGGGAATAACTGAAACATACGTATTTTTTCATACTGTGTGGAAATATGTAACAATATTTCAGTTCTTGGTTTTTCTTGACCTTTACTAATATGTTTAGCTACTTCAATTTTTACTTTTCCATTGATCCTTCTATTTCCAGTATACAAACATTTTGAAATAAGTGTGGATTTTGCACGAGACAACTCCTCTCTTCCATTTTCTTCCATTTTGTTAGGAGGATACTCTACAGTTAATGCAGGAAATATTAAGCAAAGGCCATGAACTTGGATTTCCTGCATTCCAAATATTTTCAACTTACTTTTTTTTTTTTTTTGTCTTTGGAGACAGAATCTAGCTCTGTTTCCCAGGCTGGAGTGCAGTGGAGCAATCTCAGCTCACTGCAACCTCTGCCTCCCGGGTTCAAGTGATTCGCCTGCCTCAACCTGCCGAGTAGCTGGGACTACAGGTGTGTGCCACCAGGCCCTGCTAATTTTTTTGTATTTTTAGTAGAGACAGGTTTTCACCGTGTTAGCCAGGTTGGTCTCTATCTCCTGACCTCGTGATCCACCCGCCTCGGCCTCCCAAAGTGCTGGGATTACAGGCATGAGCCACCGCACTCGGCCTTCAACTTACTTTTTAATATGGACCTCTTTACTGTCCCAGACGTTCCATTTCTAGTGCCTTCGTAATTTTTCTCTATCCCATTTATTTTCCTAGCGTATGCCCCCAGATTTGTGTAGTCCTCTTAGTGGAAGCTGGGAGTTCTTTGGTTTTCAGTTCTATAAAAAGTATCCATTGTTCAAGAAATTGTGATCAATTTTATCCCTTAAAAATTTCTTCAAAGTTGCCTTCTTTCAACAGTTCAAATTCTGACCCTGGCCTACATTAAATCTTTTGTGTTTCTGTCTCATTCCCTTTTAATGCTTTTCATATTGTATACCTTTCCTCAGCTAGTCACCTCATAGTTCATTTCATTTATACTTCCCTATCTATATTTGACAGGTGAACTAGACTTTCACTTAGAAAATGCTTATGGTAGCTAATGAAATAGTCATAAATTAACAGGTTTAATTAAAAAAAGTAATTGCAAGATTATGGAACATCTAGTTTAGGGCATCAAATTCTTACCTCTCAATCATCATTGTAGAGGATGTGGCACATGTAAGAAGAAAGTAAATATTAAGTGAACAAATGAACATAAGATATAATGGTCTTCAGCTCTACTAACAGGCTAATCTTCCCATTCCCTGCATCCTTATCCTATTGCCTCATGACCTAGCCCAAATCCACCTAATGCAGTTGTAATTATTCAGACTTGAGTCTAACAAACGTGCAAAGGCTGACCCTGACATTCCTTTGTTGTGTGACTTTTGGCAAGTTACCACTCTTGAGCTTCAGTTTCTTCATTTATAAAATTGACCCAATGATAATATCTATGTCACAGAAATGATGTAAAATAACGTATGTGAAAATATTTATCCTGGTAACCGAATATGGTGAACACTAAACATGTTAGCTGTTTTTACTGTAAGGTCCTCAGAGCAGGCTGAGCTATGGCCAAGCCATTGAGACCCCTGTGACCTACACGTACACATCCAGAAGTTCTCCTGGAGCCAGTTAGTCTGGGACAACAGGAAAACCCCAAAAGAAGAAAAAGCCGCTAGTTCCTGTCTTAGCTGATTAGCCAACCTTGCGACATTCTACCATTGTAACCTGCTCTACCCTAACTGATGAATCAACCTTGTGACACTGTGCCCTGGGACCCCTCCCACCTTGTGATAATGTACCTTGTGGCATTCTTCCCCTGCCTGCAATAAACAGCCCCTAACTGTAACTTTCCACTGCTTACCACTAACCTATAAAACTAGCTCCAATCCCACCACCCTCCTCTGACTCCCTTTTCGGACTCAGCCCGCTCACACCTGAGTGAATAGACAGTCTTATTGCTCACACTTAGCCTGTTCAGGTGCTCTCTTCAATTACACACATGCATCACATTTACTATATTCGGTGAAAATTAGGATTTGTTAGACATTTTTATCTACACTTACCATATAGGCTTGATTTTTATTTTAGTTTTATTTTTTAAATATTGATTAAATAACCTGATTTAAAATTGTGTGTTGGTGTTGGTTATTTATTCTAGTGAATACATAAAAAAATTTTGGATAGTGACATGTATATTTAAAGAAAAGAGATATGTGATTTCCAACTGATAGAATTATTAGCTCCAATATGACTTTCTGCATTAAAAAAACAAAAACAGAAACACAAACAAATGATCTTCATTGAAACTGCATGTGGTTTGATATTTGGAAGAACAGTTACATGTGTATTCAGATTTCTTATGCAAGTGCCACTATTAAAAAAAATCATTTGTGTTTTTTCCCATATTGTTAACCTATATCATTTTGCATTAATTTGTCTGGCATTCCTTAGGCTTACAAGACTTTGGAACATAGTTTCAAGGTTTGATTTTATTGATACGTTTACACAACAAAGCATCATTTAAAATGTCATTAAATAAGACAAAAAGTTACATTACTCCCTTTAGGATCTGAGTAAATGTGAACACCTGAGAGCTTGCCATTTATGATTAGTATTTCACGGTACATCAATTAAGCATCCTTCTTCACAAACATAATAAGTTTCCAGCTAGTGTATGTAATACCTATAAAATCTAATGTGGCTAATGAACAAGAATAAAATAACGGTAATCTATGAGAATAAAATAAAACATAAAACAAAGGTGAACAATATATTGTAGAATCAGGGACACCTTAGAAACAAGGACATAATTTAAAGTTTAAAATTCAAAAATCATGCAAAATAAATGTACAGGGATATGCACTACCAATTCTTTTAATTTTGATTTAAATGAGAAATAATGCTTACTTGGAAGACAGGCAAATAGAAGATTTAATAGATGATTATTATGATGAAAAATATTATCAACTGTCATACACCAATACAATGGCATATGTTCTGTGAAATAATGAGATGGGAGAGTTTCCTTGACCCCTTGTGGGACTTGCAACGGGTGTGGTTTCCTTACTTGGCTAGTCACTGTGCTCAAACCCATCATGGGACAGGGAGAACTCAGGTGAGCGGGTACCTGGGCCAAGGTGAGCACTTTTAGGCTCCAGTCCCACAGCAGCATCTAGGGGTTTGTTACAATTAATGCTCCTTTAGCAGTTGCTGTCTGCAGATGGCTAAGTATTAACCAGCTCAGTGGAGAGTCAAGTTGACAGCCTTTTACACCCTGCCCTCTTGGTACCCGGGTTCTTGTTAGGCGTCCGGGAAGAACCAGGTCACATGAATGGTTTGAAAGGTGATGAATGTGGAGAACTTTATTAAAAGGTGGAAGTGCCTCTCAGCAGAAAGGGAGCTGGAAAGGGGATGGTGCAGGAAGAAGGTGGTCTCTGAGTGAAGCTGCATCTATCTGTAGTCTCCAAGGCTCATTTGTTTCTTCTCCTCTAGAGTTTTAGCTGCTTCTTCTCTTCTCTCCTTCTCTGCTGTGCTGCTCTGCTCCTCTGCCAGTGAAGCTTGGGGTCTTTGTGGGTACAGGGTGAGGGACATGGTGGGCCAAAAGGCAACACTCAGGCAGGAAAATGGGAATGTGAAGGATGTGAAGTTCTCATTTAGGGTCACAGGTTTAGGTTTGAGGATGGAATCTTTGCCAGAGACCCTGCCCTCTTTTACCCAGTATTTCCCTGTCTCCTATCCATATCAATAATAAGTTAAAAAGATTGGCTAGTTGGAATCTGAATTAGAGATTTGGATGGAAATGTAAAATAAAAAGTAAAAGGTATTTCAAAAAAAGGTCTTTATAGCATGTATATTTTGTCCTATTGGGTTTATTTCTAAAGTTTTGTTTTCACTAAAGGCAAATTTTCTCTCAAGTGACAGCTAAGGAATATTGTTTTCTTGTTTAGTCTAAAGTTAGTTTCTGGGAAAAAAAATCATTAGGTTGTATGAAACATAATACATATGTCAGTATTTTTCCCTAGCCTAATAGCTGAACTGTACTTATTGCTGATTTTTTCAGACTGTTTGCTGCTGCTTGCATCTCCTCCTTTCAAACATAAGGGTAATGTATATTTGAGAAATGTACAAGACTTTTTTGTCTAAGAAAAAAGGGAAAATCGAACTCTTTCTCCAAAAGAAAACAAAAACATTGGCATCAGAAAATAACATGTTGCTGTGACTACATATTCAAATTGGAAACGAAGTTATCAGCTTATTCTGGTACTGCAATCAAAATGAATATAAAGAAATTACACACATTCTAATAGCTTCAGTGTCCTCTACGTACATTTTATGCAGTATGAGCAATTTTTTCTGATTACTTTTTTCCCATTGTAAAAATTTATGTGAGAAAAAAAAACAACTTGCTCTTACTATAAAAATCAAAATAGAGAAATAGTAAAACTTAGTGGGAAACTTATGTCTTTTGAGGACAGACAGACTTGATCTTGACTCATATGTGGACCAATCTTGAGGTAGTGACCTTGGGCTAGTAATTAAACCTCTTTGAATTTTATTTTTCTCATCTATTACATTGGGCTAGTAATACCTACATCTTACAGCTATAGTGAAGTATTGTGAGGATTAAATGTGTTGAACTTGCTTGGTATGCCTGATAGATTTAATGTGGATGAATGCTACTTAACATGATTAATATTTCTTTGCTACTATGTACATAAGTTAGTACTTGGAACATGGTAAGCATTTAGGATATTGTAGAAATTAGGTTGTGATAAACTCACTTTTGCTCAATTTCAATATATTTTTAAAATTAGACGTGTTAGTACAGAGATTCATAAGGAGATGTGTCATTCATTTTTCATAGAGTGGTTGAATGACAACTAACTGCTATTTCATTATTTATTTGAATATACAGCATAATATTATATATATCTTGTAGCGTATAAATCTAATCATGTTACCAACCTTCTTAGAAGCCTAAAAAGATATTTTACTGCCTATTTTAAACGAAAAATAAAATTCTGCGCCCCTCAATCAATTGAATGGACCCCCTTCTTTACCAAGGAGACCCCAAAGATACCTGAAAAACTAGTTCAGGCCATGATGGAAATGGAGGGTTGGACATGCCTCATTATGCCCTTCTCCCTTTGGAGTTGTGGAAAGAAAATAAATCTCGGTACCCTAACATCACTAACCCGGTGAAAAATGTCAGACTGGGTACTGCTTCGGGCAAACCTGCCTCTCTTTCTATTCCTAAATAAGATAGCTACAAAAAAGCTACATATCTCCCTACAATTTGCCCACAAGGAAATTCCTTGTGGACAAAGGACAAGCAGAACACAAAGTCATCCCTATGCTCACATGAGACAAATGCATACCCAATTGCTTCCTTTGTTCCACTGTTTCACTAAGCCAGACAAAAGCACAAGTGACTATTTCTGTAAATTGTATATTCAGTGAAAAGTTAATCAGAAACTCAAAATAATGGAACAATTTGCCTCTTATCTACCTATGAGCTGGAAGCCCCTTCCCCACTTTGAATTGTCCTGCCTTTCAGACCAAACCAATGTACATCTTACATATATTGATTGATGTCTCATGACCCCTAAAATGTATAAAACCAATCTGTAACCTGTCCACCTCGGGCACATATTGTCAGGACCTCCTGAGGCTGTGTCTCAGGCACATCCTTAAGCTTGGCAAAATAAACTTTCTAAATTGATTGAGACTTGTCTGAAGTACTTTTTGGTTTACAGAGTTTACACACAACTGACCAGCATTAACATTAAAACAAATCATGAAATCCACCTATGGATCCTCCTATGACCTGAAAGCCCCAACTTCCAGATGTCTGGTCTTTCTGGGCCAAATCATTATTTATCTTACATGTATGGATTTGTGTCTTTGGCTGTAGCTTCTGTCTCTCTAAAATGTATAAAACAAAGCTGTAACCCAGCCACCTTGGGCACATACTCTCAGACTTGGACCTCCTGAGGCCGTGTCATGAGCCATGGTCTTTAACCTTGGCAAAGTTAACCTTTAAATTCATTGGGATGAATCCCAACTTTTGGTTATACTATGGAATAAAAACCAAATGCTTAAGTATTAAATGCCATGTTTTTCATTCTTTGTCCCATATAATTTTATTTAGTCATATTTATATCTTTCATTTACTTAGTCTTTATTATTTTTGTTCCTTCCTTCATTCATTTATTTTTTGAATTTAAATATACCTGAAGTTATTGTAAATTATATATATGATATAATGCAGCAAAGCATAACATTCTCTTCTCACACCTTCATTGCTACTTCCCAGAAGAGACAAATACTATAAGTTTGTTATATACTCTTTCGGAACCTTGACTTTATTTATGGAGTCAGAAAATATCTTAAAATGTTAATTTTAGTTATTTATTTTCCATACTTCCTTATATATGCTCCTCATAACCTAAGTGTCCACAATGCAAAGACGTCAGTTATAGCAGGAAACTAGTAAATGACCTTTAACTATTTTTGTTTTTCTCATTCAATATAATTTCTTGAAGCCCTCAACAGAAAAAAAAATACAAATCATTTAACTTAGAGGGACATCTTTCATTTTTTTTCATTTGGCTGGTTGGGAGAGAGGCATCTCTTAATAATCAGACAAGAGGTGAGATATGGTATATGGGCCTTAATCTCATAATAATAAACTTATACCAGTTAATGTGGTATTTGGTAAATATTCTGTTTTGATTTATCTGAAGCACCTGGTAAGATTGCACTTCCAATCTACCTTGTAGGTTTATGGGATTTTGTGGCAAATGCTGGGCAAGGAACTGAATGTGCTGATGGAATAGTTCTTTTTGAAGCCAGCATCTTTAAATAATTAATGCCAATATTGACAGTGACACGAGACAGACACACTCCTAGGCAAACAGGGATGAGTCCCTGGTGAAACCCGACCTTCAAGCCGAAGACAGTTTAAAGCCTGAAAACCGAGCTGCTAGTTCCAGATAGAGTTCATGATCAGAGTTAGAAGTTCTATCCCCAGCTTACCTTCTCTCTCTTGATTGGTTCCTTCCGGATGATGCTTTTTAACCAATTGGATGGTGATTTTTTCAAAGAACACCTATGGACCAATCAGCACACATTCTCCCATTGTAAACCCAGACAAGCCCAGACTCAGCCTCACAGATGACAACCCACTTTCAGGGTCCCTTTTCACAGTTGAGGGCTTTCCTTCTGTCGCTCAATAAAATTCTTCTCTGCCTTACTTACTCTCCAGTGTCCACACACCTTATTCCTCTTGGTCACAGGACAAGAACTTGGAACTCACTCAGCTGTGGGCGGCTGGAATGAAAGAGCTATAACACATTCCTGCTCACCGGACTACAGGAGAAAGACAGCTATAACACGCTCCCACTGGCTGAGCTACGAGAGTAAAGAGCTGCAACTTTTCTTGGGGCCCAAACCTTGGGACTCCCCAAGCAAGAGCTGTAACACCACTTGGGGCTCCGCGATTGCTGGCATCTCTGAGGTTTTGGGCACCACCAACCTTCGCCTATTCTAGACGCCTGCGCCCTATACAGAAGCCACTCACAGCACGCCTGATTCAGGCTCAAGCTGAGCATAGAGCCAAGGCAGTCATGGGATCCGGGCCAGGGAGTGAACTGAGTGCAGGCTGCTGGGCTGAGCAGGCAGAGCGAGTCCAGCTGGCCCTAGAAAGGCCAGGCCAGAGGCAGCCGTGGCCACAGAGATTTCCAGGCAGTGCTGGCCACAGAGATTCCCAGCTGGCAAAGTGGCACCAAAGGAATCCTGTAACAATATGAGACCCACCATAGTCACCTTTTCTTTTTTTTCTTTTTCTTTTATTTTCTTTTTATCTGCCAGGACAATTGGGCATAATACAGATGAAGGCGTTCTATCGTTTTTTTATTACAGGGTAATGATGACACAGAAGTGTCAGCTGACCAACAATGAAAACACAGCCAGAGCAGGAAATAAACCTTTGTGGCAAGTGACTGCATTTTGTTGTTATTACAGAAGTATTGCCTAATAACTTCCAGCTAAAACAATATTGCAGATATGATTCTTTTGATTTATGACTTTTGCCTGAATGATATTATAGTTGAAAATAATTCAGTTGGGGGACATGTGCACTGATTATGTAAAAAGCAAGTTGTGTATAGAAATCTTGTTTTGTTACATAATAGTTGTATAAAATGAGAAAACTCTAAAAGTTTTCTTATATTGTGCTCAGTTTCATAATTGTAAATAAATGATGTTTTTCACAATGTTATTGTTATGATGATGGAAGATAATTAATTATTCTCTTGTATATAGAAACACCTAACCACATTAGGCAATACAGTAATGCCTATTGAATATGTCAGAATAAATACTTATTTGTCATCAAAACTCTATTTGAATAAATATGGCCAATCATGAAACAGATAAATTGAAATATCACGAATATTACTGCATAAAATATTTGTTACATATTTCATCCTGTTTTTCCACACAGGTATAAACTAATAAAAATCTGGCACAGTCAATACATTTTTTTCAAATGTTAAAGCATTTATTTATCCTTGTAGAACATTTGAATATACAGTTTCTTCTCATTTCCTCAGTTCTTCACTATGATGCATTTACAAAACAATTACTGTCAAAAGCTTCATCTGACAAGAGTGACTTGGAGTGGTAGAAATCTGCTACAATATTTATTTAATGATCTCTCACGCCTACTCAGAGCAAGTGTTCTGGAATATTCCAGCACTTGCTTTTGAATCTCCCAAACTGAGGTCTGACACTTATTAATGAGTTATTTTATGAATGAATTTTTAATGAGATTTCTAATGAATTATTTATTTTCTGAATCTGTATTTTTCACATAGGAAATGAAGAAAAAATTCACTATTTCCCTTAATGTGTGTTAGTTACAAAACTGTCATCTAATAGGTCTTAATTTATCTGTACTCTATAAGTTGCAAAAAGCAATCTTTATTTTCTATATAGTATTGCTTACATCAGTCATTCAATTAATGTAGCAATTGCTATTCCTCATTGGCTGATGCTGTCTCAGTTTTAATACTGAAACTCCCAGAAACCAAAGAAATTTCTATAGCTCAGTACACTAAATAAGTATCAATAGATATTACATATTCTTTTCTTTAAGAAGCCTTAATTTCACATATATACGTGGCAATGTACTGACTGAATTTTATCTATTAGGCTTTTGCATGCGGCCCCTCATTCTGATAGCAAAATAATAATTTACTTTAACTTAAACCTGAGACTATTCTTATTATTACTGCTTTTCCTAATTTTCAGGATCATTCTTTCGAAAACTTGATTTATGATTGGAAGAGGAGCCCACATTATGAATTAATTATTCATGTTTGAGAAAACACATTTTGAAAGTGTTTATTTTTAGGCTAAGAGAAGTCAATTTACAAATAATAATATTTTTAATTGATTTTGAGCCTCTTTGCCTGGGGTGGGCTCTGGGAAGAAGTACTTTCAGAAATGCTCAATTGATTTTTATTATTATGCAAATTTGAGAAACTATGCCCAAGAAGATAATCATATTTTAATTTGTAACAAATACAACTATATTATTTATTTGCCATAAAAGTGTCATAAGAGAAATGTTGCCATTGTTTAAAACACTACTTAGTGATAAAGAAGAACAAAATTTTGTCATTAGCTGCAATATGGATTAGCTTGTGGGCTGTTAAGTGAAATAAGACAGGCACACAAAGATAAGTATCACATGTCCTCTCTCCTATGTGGAAGCTCAAAGAGTTGATCTCACAGTAGTAGAGAGTAAAATAGTGGTTACTAGAGGCTAGGAAGGGAAGGGTATGTCGGGGATAGCTAGAGATTTGTTAATGGGTGTAAAAGTACAGCTACATAGCAGAAGTAAGTTCTCGTGTTCCATAGCACTATTTAGTGACTGTAATAAACAACAACCAATAGTATATTTTCAAATGGAAGAGCAGATTTGAATATTCTCAACATAAAGAAATAATAAATGTTTGAAGTGATGGATTGCTAATTACTCTGATTTGATTGATACACATTGCATGTAGGTTTTGAAATATCACCTTGTACCTCATAAACATGTACTATTATTATGTGTCAATTAAAAATAATTTTTAAAAAGTTGTCAGTGTAATACATTAAAGATGTTTGTCTACTCCTATAAATGCTTCTGAAAGAACATAAGAAAATGTATAGATTGTTATATTGGTCCTTTTATATCCTTTTGAAAACACAATAGAACTTCTTTGCATTTATAAAATAATAAAACAAATGTGAACATATATACATTTCTGCTATTTTCATTTGATTCATATCAATGTTGAGGAGAACTCATAAATTTGTACATGACTTTTTGCCCCATGTCTTGAACACTAATACATGATTTAAATTGGTATAAAAATGCAACTTATTTAAATAAATAAACACTAAAAATAAGCTCTCTACAGTTTCATCATTTCCATTGATATATCCGAAAAAACACATATATGCCTTTTAGATTTGTTCTTTGTATGCTGAATATTATAGAGTGAATATGAGGCTTTGTTTTGGAAGGGATGGGAGGTTTCCTGGTCTCTGGGACTTGCAGTGTTAAAATAAAGACAGTACTGGCCAAGATATATAAGTAAATATGTTTTTAAAAATCTTATGTAAAAATGAAACTGATATATCTTATGAAGTGTGATAGTAGGCAAGATGCTTTAGGCAAACACATTGATACTTGTAACCTCAAATTTCTCAAGGTTTATTAATACAAAGTTTTATTCACTAAAAAACTTTCCCTTACTTTGTCTTTCTCTCTCCTGTTCACATACACACAAAAATTTCTTCTGGAATAATTAATTCATAGTTCCAGTATATCTAGTGAATTTATTTGAAATAGATCAATAAGGAAGAATTTCTTAAACAAAATAAAGGTATATTTAGTTCTTTATGTGAACAAATTCCCCTAGGGCAATTTCACTTTCATAAATTTTGGGTAAAGTGTTTAAACTGTTGCATAAATTGATATCTTTTACTTTCCTCCCAGTCTCATTTTAATCCACATATTGCAAATTCAGTGCTCCTAACAAATGAGATACATTTTCTGCCTCCTAAATATCAATGGTCTTTTTAATAAATAATTTACATTTCTTGCATATGCTCTTGATATTTTGCTCTGATGCTTTATATTATTGCCGGTGAACTAGAACAGTTATTATAAATATAGTACTAATGAATAAGTCCATTGAAAACACTTTCTATCAAAGTGAAACATAAAATTTATGTATGTTATATGCCTGTTAACTGAAAACTTCCTAAAAGGCATCAGAAAAAAACTGTTAAATAGTTATTTGTATTAGTCAAATATTTTATACAGCAGAAAACCACAGAGACTGTGTTAGTGGTATCTCAAATGGAGACCCAGAAG
Organism: Homo sapiens; assembly: GCF_000001405.40. Taxonomy (NCBI): domain Eukaryota; kingdom Metazoa; phylum Chordata; class Mammalia; order Primates; family Hominidae; genus Homo; species Homo sapiens. The sequence goes on along the minus strand of NC_000013.11, from coordinate 82,651,586 downwards.
GAGGATAATGATAAAATCTTAGGGCCTAGAGTAAGACATTTTAGGACGGCTCTTGCAAAGCAAAAGACTGAGTGATATTGCACAGACTTTTATGGCAGTTTTCTTTCTTTCTGTTTTTTTTTTTTTTGTTGTTGTTGTTTGTTGTTTGTTCTAAAGATGACACATTGAAGCAAAAATCTTCAAGCAAGTCTTGATAAACAAGCTATTATTAGCATTATTAAGAAAGCTATTTGAGGGAGTTCACAGTTGCAACTTTGATCAGCATTTTTTCCCCCTGAAACACAGTAGCTAAGGTATTTCTGGTCATCGGCAGTATTTAACACAGGAAAATTAAGCATCCATGGTTCCAGTATGGTTTAACAAAGAGACAGAAACAAATGTTGCTTTAATTTTCTTGGGTGTAATGGTTATAATTTTATGTGTGGCCTTTTTCCTAGTATCTATTGACTTAATATAGAATAGCAGTGTAGACTAATGTTTGAATATTTCTGTTATCCAGTCCAAAGCAATGTATTTGAATCCCAACAATGACACAAAGATTTGTACCCATGGCAAGTTACTTAACTCTTTAAGATCCTCTCTACTATTCTGAAAACATTTTCTTCAGTAAAAAAAAGATTAACTAAAATATTGCATATATATTCTTAATGTAGACCATGAAACATGGTAAGTGCTTTAAGTATTAGATAATAATATATAAATAATATTTCTAAATTTATTGTAAAATTATTAGTATTATTAGCATAGGCTGTAGTACATGGTAAGTGTCTATTACTAGGTTATATATACGTATATATACGTATATATATATATACGTATATATATGTATATATATATACGTATATATATGTGTATATATATATATACATATATTAATATATAAATGTATTATTTCCCATTAGGGTTATCTTGTTTTTTCTTTTTAAAATTATTACATTTGTTCCACACATTAATTTGTTTATATGGAATATATAGAAATATTATTCTTAAAATGTGCAACAATTGAATAACTAATAAGTAAACAGTCAACCTGACACTAATGAGAAAAGAAATTAGGTAAAAGACTATTTTGTATGTGTCACTACTGTGATACCAATGTTTTCACCTCATAAATAAAAGCTATATGGCAGTAAAAATTATGTGGATTTATAAGATAGTGGAATTTTTTAGTTATTTTGAGAGTTTAAATCTCCAGAAAATGAGAAGATTATTCCAGGTACATATTCCATAACAGACACCTCCACAACAGGGGAGTAGAAGCAAGAAAATGCCTGGTACTGCGAAGCGATAGCTTAAAACTGTGTACAAAAACTAATTCGATTATGACGTCAAAGGGAAGCCAGATAGAAAGCACAAAAATATTTCCTGGAATTTGCTAAATTCTTCCACTCTTCCACAAAGAAAGCGCCTGGTACATACTATGTGTCCCAAAAAAACATCCTCACTGTATTAGTGAGCTAGGGCTACTGTAACAAAATACCACTGATAGGGTGGCTTAAAAAACAGAAATTGCTTTTTTATAGTTCTGAAAACTAGAAGTCCTGGTCAAGTTGTTGGCAGGCTTAGTTTCTTCTGAGGCCTCACTGTGTCTTTCCATGGCCATCCTTCTGTGGATGTACATGTCTGGTGTCACTGTGTGTACAAACTTAGTCTTCTTAAAAACACACCAGTCATATTAGATTAGGCCCACCCTACAAGACTAATATTTACTTAATTTATCTTTTAAGGATCTTATCTCCAAATATAATTACATTTTGAGGTACTGAGGTTTTAACACTTCAAAATATACGTTTGGAAGCCAGTGCACAATTCAGCCCATAACACTCATTCTCCGTGTTTTTAAAATAACACTAAATGGGAAGAGGGAAAGACAATATATTTGAGCAAGTTGCAGTAGCCAATGTGTCAAAATGAAAAGCAAGTTAAAGGATACATAACTGCAACATCTTGGTAGAAAAAAATCTTCCAAAAAATTAAAAGGCTTTGGACAGCTGAAATAAAAATAACACTTTTTTTCTATGAGTATTATTGAGAATATTAGTATTCTAAATCAGTTTTCCTTATCAATCTGAGTGGTGTACAATTTCAGTATTCACTTTATTATGAATAATCTAGATGGCCTCATGTCTATTGATGTTAATTACCAAGGTAATTAGTCTGTTTAATTTTAGCAAATTTTTATGGCATGATCTCTACCAATAGTATTTTTGATAAATATTGTGTTATGTCTCTGAATTTTCACCAAGAACTCAAATGTGGTAAATGGTTTCTATCTGAAGATATCCTAGAGACATCCCTTGAATTCAGTTGATCATCTTAGCAAGATGCCTGCAGAGTGAACATGACATTTTGCAGTAAAATTCATGTTTTAAAGTCTTCTTTTATACAATGTTACAGCATAACTACATGAGGCATTTTCTTGGCTTAAATATATATCCAAATAGTGATTTCATGTCAGTATTGAAGTTTTAATATAAAAGTTCAATTATATCAGTTCTTTATGATGTCATCTTAAAAATTCTTTAGAAAGTATACTGTTGACCCAGATGGCGAAGTCCTGAAAATATCATGTAAAACACTGCCTCCTTTAGGATGCTAATATTCCAGATAACATTTATATTTGTGAGTATGGCGGATGGTGGTAGTGAGAAGTGTAACTGCATTTATGTCACATTTGTTTGAATGCCTTGGTTTTAGGTAATGGGGGTTGTCAGAAGAATAATTCTGGCATATATTTCAAAGCTGTGAAAGTGCTGAGTGGGCTTCCCTGGTTTCATTTCAAGATAGAAGGAAAGTCTCATGGCACATGAAGTGCTGGAAACAGGAAAACTGCTATCAGATAACATCATTATACAACACAAGCAGTTCTGCTTATCTGTTCTGTTTCAAAGAGTCAGACTATATTCAATTGATTGAGTGTGATTTGAATTGAAGAGAAAAATTGCATGGATGTATCCCGCCCCTTTTCTTGATTTTTTTTTGTTTATTTTTGTACTAGACTACACTTTAATAAAAAGAAAAAAAATAAGTCAAATAGACTTAAGACACAGCAATATTTTATATCTACAAATCATAGTGAGATAATTGCAACCTAAATCAATGTAGTAAAATTTGGTGAGAAAAGATAAAATCCCAAAGGTTTAACCACAGTGATTCCTGACATCTTCTGCTGAAATGGAAAAATAATACAAAATCCGGAAAGTATGTCTTGAAAGTTATGGTGAGAACATTTACAAATTTTCTTGTTTAACTTTTCTTAGGAAGAAACAAATGTCTTAAATTGTAGTGTTATGGGTTTCCCCAGTGAAGTATCCTTATATATTTTGCCTAGGGAATTATTACTTGTCTACCCAACTTCCACAGGTGAAAAGAAAAATAATTACAAATGACAAATTTAGAAACCTTTATAAAATAAATCATAAAAAGGATAGTGTTAGTATGAACGATGAACAATTTGAAGATCTGGTAAAATAATTAAAATTGTAAATTATTTTTTCTATTTTAATATTTATTGAAGTATTGAATACACATAGAAAAAAGCAGTCATTAGAAGAAGACAGTTTGCTGAATTGTCACAAATTAGACACTTATATATCCATGAAACCTCTTTGAATAAAATAAATCCATTTGTTTTAAATGAATTAGTTTCCATTTTAGGCAGCTAGATATATGATAGAATTAGTTTTCTCTTACTGCATAACAAATTGCCCCTCAAAATTTCTGATTTACAAGAATAAATGTTTATCATTGCTTACAGTAGGGGTCTCCATCTCCTGGGCTATGGATGGGAACCAGTCCACAGCCTGTTAGGAACTGGGCTTCAGGGCAGGAGGTGAGCAGTGGGTGAGAGAGCATTACAGCCTAGCTCCGCCTCCTGTCAGATCAGCCACAGCAGTAGATTCCCATAGGAGCAGGAACCCTATTGTGAAGTGCACAGGCAAGGGACCTAGGTTGTGCACTCCTTATGAGAATCTGATGCCTGATGATCTGAGGTGCAACAGTTTCATCCCAAAACCATCCCCTGCTGTCTGTGGAAAAATTGTGTTCCACAAAACCAGTTCCTGGTGCCAAAAATGTTGGGGACCAACTTTTGGGCTGGTACGGTCTCTATGTGTCATAATTATAAAGAAAGGTTAGCTGACAGTTTTTTTGGGAGTTGTGCTTCAGTGTCACCTGCGGCTTTAGTAAACTGATGCTGCTTTTAAGGTGTCTCACACATGGACAGCATTGTGTACTTGTTATTAACAGAGATCTCAGTTATTTCCTAAGTGAGCCTCATTACAAGTTGATCAAAATATAATCATGACATTAGATTCTGTGATCCAGAAAAGCAAGAGTGAAGCAGCAGTGTCTTTTATGACCTGGTATTACTTGAACAATATTCTTTCTGCCCTAGAAATTGTCCCTTATTAATTATGAGTTCAAGGAGGCATAGATCATTGATGATCATCTTTGAAACTAACATATTTAAGTATAAATAAATATATAGCTATGCATTTGAAATCATGCATCTTAAACAGAACCAAGTGTTTGCAAACATATGCTTAAATTAAAATGCAGACACTTATAGAAAAAAAGAGCTTAGAAATTCAGGGAAAGTTGCATGAAAATCTTATGTGTCATATGTCTTATGTTCTAGGAAAATCACATAATATCATCTTTTGGTCTATATTTAATCTAGATGAAATTTAATAGTCTTGAAATAACCAAAAAAGTTTGCACTTATCGCCCATAGGAGTTAAAGGAAAAAAATCTGTTAAGGATGAGTATGAAGAAAAGTTTTAAAAACATGTTACTTAAAATAGTTAAAATCAATATGCAAGAATAGCAGATGTGCCTCAATCCAAGTGGCAGGGATTTCAAGGACACAGATATCAGGAGAGTTCATTCCAACAATCTCCAGGAGACAATCTACAGTTATAACATTTTTTAAATAATATTACTCGACCACAGAGTTTACACCATGAGCATCATTATTTGCTTAAACCAGTCCTGTGGGTTGGGAAACAAAGGAAGATTATGTCATATTTGCCTGATGTACCAGTCAGAGTTTATGATATTTATATTTTTTATAGATTTATATTGTTTACTTATGAGATGGGGAAGTTGAGATTTTTTTCAAATCATTGATATACACTTAATAATTTAATTCCACTAATAATTTTTGCTTCATGTTGCCAGTGTAGATTTTCATCAAAACCTTGGTCTTTGTAGTTGGTATGGCCTTCACAATACTGAAGAATACAGTGGATGATCTTTTAGATGATATTAGAAAGCTATATTGTAGAAAATCTTTTGGCAATTAATAATGTTTCCCTGTCATAAAAAAATTAGCTTTAAAATAGAAAGTTTTGCATTGAACTTCATTAATCACATGTCACCATTATGGACAGAATAGAAAAAAAAATCCTTGAATATAATTTTATGAAGATGTATTTATAAAGATCATTTTATCTTTTTCAATTAATCACCCTTTCTCTCACAGACACAGTCTCTTTCCATGTAGATTTAAGAACAATATATAAAATATATTATTTATAATTATATAACAAAATGTATATATAATTGATATAAAATACATAATTATATATTACCTATGTACATTTATAATGATCTGTATGTATTATAAATTGATAGGTTAAATTTAAAATTTATCTACAATATATGTGTATATAGATTATAAATGGATATATCTATCTAGATCATATAGAAATAAATAGATTATATATCTGTCATGTATATGTGGATGGATAGATAGATAGATACATAGATAGATAATTGAAAGAGAATAATAAGAGCTACAGTGACAGGTGTTGAACCCCCTAAACAAAACCGGTTTTAATTCTAAATTGATAATTCTTAATACCAGAATTTATAATTGGCTTATCGGCTATTACTATGTAACAATTATGTTATAAAATTTCATCCTATCAATTAATTGACATTGACTTCTTTATTCTTCTCCATCTTTGTTACCTGTATTTCGTAAATACAGATAAATGTTTAATCTGTATTTCATTAATTGCTACTCCTAACTTACATTTTTTTCTTCTATTTTCAGTGTGTTTTGCAATTCTTTCATTAACTTACTTATTTGTGTGTTTGATTTGCTATTTTTTGGTGTTATTTTCTTATAGGAAAATATATATATAATTCAACTGAAAAAAAAACCCTGCAATATGTATAACTTTCTTGCCCTTGGTTAACAAATTAAGTCAAACAGCCAGCACTGTTTCTGCAATCTGAGAGGATTGCCCTTACTATCACCCACCGTGTCCTTTGGTTCTATCTTCTGGGAAGTCTTGCCCATTAGTCTTCTTGGCCGCTTCTGTGTTAGATGTCGGGAAGATAGTCTTCCTAGAGGATTGAATTTTTATAGTTCTTCTTCTGTTTTATTCAGTTTAGAGTTTATGGGATTGAAATCATTACATGTTGTAAGGAGTTTCTTTGGCAAGATAACCCAACAAACTCTTATCTTAACAACCTGATGGATTAATTACTTCAAATAAATTTTCTTGCTGAGTAACTATAGCCAAATATTTTTTCTAGATAAACCTTTATACTTGAGGTTCTCATCCTTTTATTATACGGCCTCATCTTTGGCTGTCTCCTAGCCATTTATTTAATGGCTTTTTCCATGAAGCAACTCAAAACGGTCTTTGTGATAGGAAGGCCGCATCTTTAATACAAATTTTAGTAATAAGAGCAATGGTTATCTTCCATATCTTGTATTAGTTTTGGGTTATTTTCACATATTTTCCTTCATTTTTTTAAATTAATTTTTTAAGCAGAAAATATAAGGCATATTACCAAATAATTATTTCTATATGAAAAAAATAGATAACAGCAGGACAGTCTACACAATTTGTGGGTTCTAGGACAAAATGGAAATGTGGGCTTCCTTGTTCAAAAATAATTTCACAACATCCATGGAAAAGCCAAGTATGAGGACCTTCTAAACCTAGGACCCTGTGAGACTGCACAGGTTGCATGGCCAAGAAGCCAGCCCTGAGTAGAGATCATGAACAAGAAAACTCTCATTTATTCTGAGAGAAGTTTTGAATTTTAAAATATTTAGTCAAGGAACTTTCAAGAGTTCACTGTGTGAGTAGTTATCACATTAATACACTTGAACATAAAATTGGAATTTGTTGTTCAGTTTCTTAAGATATTTAAGTTAATGTTAAATAAGACGAAACAGTCATTTGCAATGTCACCATACCATATGAGCACATTTGTAATAAGTGTATAGATTGGACAAATATCATGATTGTCTCTAAAATTTGATAAAGGCCAAGTGAGGTGGCTCACACCTGTAATTCTAGCACTTTGGGAGGCTGAGGCGGGTGTATTGCTAGATCTCAGGAGTTTGAGCCCAGCCAGGGCAACATAGTGAAACCCTGTCTCTACAAAAAATACAAAAAACATTAGCTAGGCCTGGTGGCTTGTGCCTGTAATCCCAGCTACTTGGAGTTGGGAGGGCTGAGGCAGGAGAATTGCTTGAGCCCAGAAGGCCAAGTTTGCGGTGAGCTGAGATCGTGCCACTGCACTCCATCCTGGGCGGCAGAGTGACAGCCTGTCTCAAAATAAATAAATAAATAAATAATAATATTTGATACAAATAATCATTATTCTGATTACATACTTAATTTGTTTATTTCATAGCTGTATTCCTTAAACATAATTATCTATATTTAGTATTTATGACACCAAATCTTATTACATGTGACATTAAATTTTAATGTTTTCTATGAAACTCTTAAAATACATTATCTTCAATTTCTAGATGTCTTTCATTTAGATAATAAAATGGAAAGTAGGTTTGAAAATCTGTGATTATACTTTTAATTTTGAGTTTAAATTGTTGACTGTCCAAAAGTACTTATTACTTTTGGTGAGACTACCCCTATTTAACACTTTTATTAGCATGCTAATAATTTTACATCTTTAATAATTTTCTATAAATTTAAATGATTCCAGTGGGAAATAATTCCAGAGGCTTAATATATAGTAAGTACTATATATTATACTAGAAGTATATAGTACTGAGGCTATCATAAAAACAGAATTATTCAAATTAGTAAGTAGGCACTGGCCTAAAATAGCATATGAGGTCATTAATAATGAGGCATAAAAACATACCCAATTACTTAATTCCCAGCAGAACCATACATCTAGTTTTATTGGCTATATGGTATGAAATCTCTTAATCGCTAAGATAATAGTTTAATTGACAAGATTCATTTTAAACTAATAAAATAATTAATTTATACTACATTTAATTTTGACTCCTTTGTATTCTTATAATCTGTTTTGTCCTATACTTTGTGACTATTCTATTTCTTTCCTGAAATGTCTTTTATGGTAGGATAATAGTAAGGAAACATCATGCATTTACATAGACATTTTCTTAATTACTTTTCATATATACACATATAAATGTGTGTGTGTGTATACATATATACACACACATCTTTAACACCGTTTTATTTTTAAGTGAAACATGCTGAGCAAAAAATTTAAAAGAATGTTACTATTAAAAAAGTTTTCTTTTAAATTTCTAGAATAAGTCCCAGTGGGACCTCCATTCAAAGTAACTTCCATCTGATGTAATCAAGTGTAACAGAAATAAAAAAGATCTTACAGAAGACAGAACCAAAGATCAAGAAGAACGATGATAAATGATGACAAGGAGAGTGAAATAAGTGTCTGACAAAGAACATTTGCTCCTCTAAGAACCATATTCCTTTTAATACATATCCAGTGAGGTTTTAGAATCTTATTTAACAAAGACGCATAAGCCTCCCTCCTATTTTATCTCTTAAATATCATATGTGTGTGTGTGTATATGTATACATATGTAATGTTTCTGCTCAGTTATCTCATTTTTATATTGCACATTTGTGTGATGAAGGACAATAACTATTGCTCTTTTCTTTTAGTTTTCAGTTGTCCAGAGCAAAAGAAGCCATGTACATCTGACATAGAAGAAATCACAAAACACAATGGGATCTTGGGCCTAGTGCTAGATATGCTGATTAGGTGGGAAATTTGGGATTGGGTAAAAATGTTTCATACATGGGTGAGGAGGAAACCAAATATTTGATGGCCAGAATGACAGAATGCATTGGTGTTCAACCATATATGGGTCCCATCTTGAAAAATGCCATATTATAAGGTCAGGTTAAACTATGTGACTTATATGCCAGAAAAACATAAGAAAAATGACCTTCTGGGCAGAACTTAAACCACTGACAATGATTTTTAAAAATCTTTTTTTTTCTTGACTCTGAAATGCTAGAGTTGTATTTCTATGGAGCTTATGGTGTTCCTTAGATATATTGATAAAGTCCACTTGGCAACCTATAATGGACATATAATCCAAACCAGACACTATGACGTTAAGTCATTGATATTAGATTGTGCATTTTTTCTCTATAGTTTAGCCAGGATGTGGATAAAATCATCTTTCTTCAAAACTCTCATATAAGCCTCAGTGTATTAGATCAATTTCTATGATAAATGTATCAGATTGGTTCCCACTGTGAACTAAAATTAGTATAATTTAAGAAAGTGTTAATAAAGGGACTACTTTGAAATTAAAATTCTCTAAAAGATATATCACAGTACACTAGAGCCAATAATAACACGTTCTGTTAGCCTGAACAGGGATGTGCAATTGTAGTTACCAGAACCTGGAAGGAAAGAATTCAATGGAGAGAACCACCTTGAGTGGTGGCGTCAACAGCCAGGAAAAGATAAAGCAACAGAGAGAACTGTGGGAATAATAGTTCTCTAGTCACTGTTCTCTCTCCCTTTGACTTTCTGGTAGCTCCAACAGGTCAGTCTCTTTTAACAGAGAAGGGTGGAGAAGGCAAATAAATGAAGAAGTAAGCAGAAGAGTTCCAGGTCGGTGAGCTTCAGTCAGCTTTTTTGATTGACCTGGAAATAGCAACATTAACAAAGTCAGAATGATATTGCAGAAAACTAAACAATGAATTAATTAAAATAAATTAAAAACTTAAAAAATAAAATAATAAAACAAAAACAATATTAGTAAGACGGCCTAGGTTACAGGTTTGAGGAAAAAATAAAATAAGCAAGATGGGAAAGTGGAAGGAAGTAATGCATTAAAGACTTAAAAACATGTAGCAGAGCTGATGTTAGTGTCAGTGTTTGAATAATGAAACATACAATGAGTATGTTATCAAAGGAGTAAAAGTACAATTTTTTCTCTCCATATACTTTTCCAGAGAGAAGTTATTTCCTCTTCAGTGGACATCATTCCCTTCACTACCACTCACACACATACATACACAGGCTCACATTCACACTAGATAATTATATTTCCTCAAAGAGTACTTAGTTTACTCACCATAATAACAGGTTATTACATGTTTAGACATACATATAAATTGAAAATAATGTCTTAAAATAGTTATGTCAAAATGTTCCAATTATGTAAAAATTACTCAGATGTAGTAATTCTTACAGATTTAACTCAAACTGAATTTGATTTGGAATACCTATAAAATAATCCACTTCGTCCTCAGTCACTTCTTTGAGTACAAAATGAAGAAAATATTTGTATTATTTCTTATATATTTTATAAAAACAGGTGAAATAGTTTTGAATCTTGATTTTAACTCATTAAATGATGTACTCTTCTAGTAAGATCCATTACTTGTTCAGTGCAGTGGCTCACACCTGTGACCCCAGCACTTTGGGAGGCCGAGGCGGGCAGATCGCTTGAGAACAGAAGACTAGCCTCAGCAACATGGTGAAACCCCATCTCTACAAAAAATACAACAAAATTAGATGACTGTGGTGGCTTGCACTTGGGAGGCTGAGGTGGAAAAATCACTTGAGCCTGGGAGGCGGAGGTTGCTCTGAGCCAACATCACGCCACTGCACTCCAGCCTGGGTGACAGAGCAAGACTCTGTCTCGAAAAAAAAAAAAAAGTTCCATTACCTGAAATATAAAAATCATGGTTTGTTTAATTTTGTTGTTTCTCAGAAAACTCATTCCTCTGTCCTGTGCTGTTAAAGGATGTACAGACATACCATGTTTTACTGCATTTTGCTTTATTGTGCTTCTCAGGTATTACATTTTTTTTACAAATTGAAGGTTTGTGCAACCTTGTGTCAAGCAAGTTTATGGCACCATTTTTTTTTGACAGCATGTGCTCACCTTGTGTCTGTGTCACATAATATTCACAATATTTCAAACATTTTTATTATTATTGTATCTTTTAGGATGATTTGTGATCAGTGCTCTAGATTGTTACTATTGTAATTGTTCTGGGACATCACAAAATTATATGGTGTTTTGGGGCACAGTGTAAGATGACAACCTTAATCGATGAATGTTGTGTGTATTCTTACTGCTCCATAGACTGGCCTTTCCCTGTTTTTTACTTCTCCTCTGGCCTTCTTTTTCCTAAGACAAAACAATATTAAAATTACGTCAATTAATAATCCTACAAGGTTCTTTAACTGTTCAAGGGACAGGAAAGTTTAGATGTTTTTTACTTTAAAACAAAAGCTAGAAATGATTAATCTTAGTGAGACAGGTATGTTGAAAGCCAAGATAGGTTGAAAGCTAAGCCTCTTGCACAAAACAATTAGCCAAGTTATGAATATAAAGAAAAAGTTTTTGAAGGAAATTGAAAGTGCTAATTCAGTGAACATATGAATGATAAGAAACCAAAACAGTCATTGCTAATATGGAGAAGGTTTTAGTTGTCTGAATAGAAGATCAAACCAGCCACAACATTCTCTGAATTTGAAGCCTAACCCAAAGCAAGGTCTAACATTCTTCAATTCTATGAAGACTGAGGAAAGTGAGGAGGCTTCAGAGGAAAAGTCTCAAGTTAGTAGATGTTGGTTCATAGAATTGAAGAAAAGAAACCATCTCTATAACATAACAGCAGAAGGTGAAACAGCAAGTGCTGATGTAGCAGCTTTACAGCAAGTTATCTAGGAAAACCAGCTAAGATAACTGATGAAAGTCACTACAGATTTTCAATGTAGACCAAACAGCCTTCTATTGGAAGAAAGTGTCAACTAGGGCTTTCATAACTAGAGAGGAGAAATCAATGCTTGGCTTTAGAGCTTCAAAGGACAGGCTTACTCTCCCATTAGTAGTTGGTGCAGCTGGTTGGAGCCAATGCCCATTTCCCATTTAAAAATTCCTAGACCCTTAAGAATTACACTAAATCTATTCTGTCTGTGCTCTATAAATGGAACTACAAAGCCCAGATGACAGCACATCTGTTTACAACATGGTTTACTGAATGTTTTAGCCATGTTATATAACATATTTCATGTTTATATATATTAACATATTTCATGTTTATATCTATATATAATGGTTTATCCCATTTATCAGTTTTTGAATATTTGAAATGCATCTACTTTTTGGCTATTATTATCAATGCTTTGGTGACTATCTTTGCACAAGTCTTTATATGGAAGTGTGTTTTCATTTTCCTTGCCATGAGTCCTATGAAAAATATTAACTTTCAAAAAACAATGTTTTTCAAAGTGGCTATACTATCTTATATTCCTATCAGCAGTATATGTTAGTCCTAATTTCTCCATATCCTCAAAGACAGTTGTTATTTTCCTTCCCCTATATATGTTGACAATAATAGACAAATAAAATTATATATATTTAAAGTGTATGTTGTAATATTTTGATATATGTATCTGTTGTGAAATATCCAATGTGATTATCTGTTTGTCTGTCTCTCGAAGTTTGGGAGCACTGATTTTCCCTGGGACTTAACTTTTCTGTTCAATCTAAGGATTGTTTTTCACTTTCCCATTTTTCCAGCTTTTTATTTGTTGGCATGGAGTGGGACTTCTAATCTTCTTTCCTGCTGAATGCAAAACTAGAAGTTTGAGGATATATTTTTAAATTAAGAACTTATTTTTTTTAATCTTTCATTTTTTTGCCATATTACATTTTTTGTTATTTTTAATTTTTATTCTAAAAATATTTATTGTAACTTTATTAATCTTTGCTGGCTAATTCTAAAATTCCTCACATGTATTGGTTTGTTTCTATGATATGATTTATTTCCTAGTTATTTGTCAGATGTCAAAGGAATTTTCCTGCTTCATATGTCAAGGAATTTCTGATAGGATGCCACATATATTATGCTGCTATATTAGCACTTTATCATTTTTCTGTGGGAGATTTTGAAATTTGTTTGGCAGACATTTAAGTCATTTCTGAATAAATTTGACCCACTCAAGTGTTATTTATAAGCTTTATTGATACAGCATAGACTTTATATTCCTATTTGACCTACTTCTAAGGCATAATATTTCTGGGATCTCTGCTCAATGTCACAAGTATTAAATAAAATTTCTCCACATTCACTGGTAGAAAATTGAATGGTTTCCAGGTGCATTAGTCTGTTCTCACACTGTTCATAAAGACATATCTGAGACTGGGTAATTTAAAAGGAAAGAGATTTAACTGACTCACTATTCCACGTGGCAGGGGAGGCCTCACAATCATGGCAGAAGGCGAATGAGGAGCAAAGTCTTGTTTTACATGGCAGCAGGCAAGAGAGCTTGTGTAGGGCACCCCCCTTTATAAAACCATCAGATCTCATGAGGCATTTACTATCACAAGAAAGACTCACCCCCTGATTCACTTACCTCCTACCTGGTCCCTCTCATGACACATGGAAATTATGGCACAATTCAAGATGAGATTTGGGTGCAGACACAGCCAAACCACATCACCAGGTCTGCATGAACTCTCTAAAATAATCAAACAAGTCACTACCAAGCACTGTTTCGATGCCTGACCTAACAGAGTTTTACTCTATTTATGTTCAGATTAATATTCTTTCAAATATTTCAGTGAATTACATTTGTACATTTTTGGAACTCTTTCACTGGGTTTTTTCTGCTTACCTCTGACACTTGAATTCACAGATTTCTGTTATCTTGGCCTCTCTTATTTCTTATTCCTCTTTCCTCTTCTCAGCAAGACTACTGGACTGTCCTCAGGTTCCCAAATAATGTGCTTCAGTCTGGAAACTGCCGTTATGCAAAAAATCTAGGTATCTCACAGAACACACCCAATTTACTTATCTTCTCTTAGAAGATTAGAAATTATGGTTTAGGAGTCACGCAGCTGGAGGCTGCAAGATTCTGATCCCCCTAAACTGCTCCTAACATCAGTGCTTGAGCTATTTTGCAGATCTTTCATTTGATTGATCAGCTGGCACCATCCAGATTGATAAACTGGCTCATCTGATCTTGTGGCCCCCACCCAGGAAGTGACAGTGCAATAAGACAGCTTCCACTCCCTATGATTTCATTTTTGACCAACCAGCACTCTTGCCTCTCTGACTTCCCCCAGCCCATCACGTTGTCCTTAAAAACTCTGCTCCCTGAATGCTCAAGGAGACTGATTTCAGTAATAACAAAACATCTCCTGCACAGCCGGCTCTGTGTTAATTACTCTTTCTCTATTGCAATTTCCCTGTATTGGTAAGCCGGCTCTGTCTATGCAAGGTGAACCCATTGGGCAGTTGGTTACAGAAGATCACCTTCCTGATGCCTTATTTGACTTTTCCTGCATTTAGGAACCATTTTTCATAACTATACTTTGCGTATTAGCCACCTCCTAAATTCTGTCTTATTTTCTTTTACTTGGTGGGAGATACCTTATTTATTTTATTAGAAGAGGCGAAATGTGTGATTCCATTTTTAGCAAAACGTTTTTTCTTAGCATTTTAAGCAATGGCTACTTTCTAAGTTTATTTATATAATTTAATAAAAACCATATTAATGTTCCTGTTGTAAGTGTGTCATTAACTCTGATTGATAAAATATTTTAAGAAACAAAGTAAAATGGAGACATTGGCATGAAGGTAAGGGTCTTGTAGTCAAAAGGCAAAATGTTGTTATTCTTCAGAAGTGAAACATTAGAGAACAGTTTGAAGTTGCCATCTGGAGTAATAATAAGCTCAGTAAAATAGCAGATGTCAAGGCCAGTTTCTCCTAGTCAAAACCAAATGTAACAAGTAACTCAATTTTTCACTGGGGGACAATTTGTTTTGGGGGAACTTTTTTACTTTCTCACAATCCCAAATGTCTCATTTGTATTTCCCAAACTGCCCTAAGCGCAGTTATCATCTCCCTGGATGATCTTTTTCTCAATGTAAAAAAAAGTACTGTGTTACTGAAGACAGATTGTTGTTAAACCAGTCTCCCTCCTGTCATAATCTCTTTAATTGTTGAAAATGACTCATGTGGGAAGTGGATTTAAAGTGAGGTGAATATTGCAACATCTAACTGAATAACAATTTCACATTTTCTTTCTCTTTTCTTTGAATTCATTTTGAGTCTTTTCAATATCACACATAGGTTGATTAATCTTAGATTCTTTTCTAATATAGCACATATATTTTTATACTTTAAACAAACCTGGGATAGTCTTACAATCTTACTAAAATAATTTGCAAACTTCTTACAGACAACCATAATATAAGCACTTTGGCGTATTTCAAACATCACCTATTATCACACTCTTAATTCATAGTTTTAACTTCTGGTAACAAAATTTAGGAAGTATTTTTAGATCCTCCGATAATTTACTCAGATCCTAAGCTGTCAAAATAACCCATATAGAAATATATTTGTCAGGTAGTAACTATGTTTATTCATTAATTAACATACTATTCAATATTATTGACTGAATGTCTTCTACATCACATCCAACTGAAATGACATATGGAATAAATAAAAATAATTTGCAGTATATTAAAAAGAAATTATACATTTAGATTTATTATATATCTTTCTTGCAGTTCATTGCCATTTACAATATACTCAATACCTTTTTTACATTAGGCAGGTGGTATTCGAGTCCTTGAGTATCCTTGCATCTATACTAAAAATAAACTTAAATATGTATCTGAATGTAAAATGTGTTTATTTTTCTTATTTGATCAGATTTTTTTTCTTACATGAGGTCTGTCTGTAAGGATCTCAAATTTTCAGTTTATTAAACACAAAAAGCAAAATTTTCTATGACTCAGTCATTTTGTATTTTTTGATGAGCTATCTTTTAAAATATAATTTTACATTGAAAAGAAAATACATACATGATTTCTCAACTAGAATATATTCCTTTGGATGGATTTTCATACCAACATATTCTTTAGAGAAAAGTACAAATTAATATGAGTAAAATAATAATAACCTATAATATTAAATTAATTTCTTCGAAAGCTGGCAATTTAAAACAATTTCATGTGATGCAGGTTATTCTAGCTAACCAGTAATGCAGATGAGCTGAGTTAAGTTACTAGTAGGTTGATATAATTGAAAATAACTCATAAGAGAAAGGTTTCAACTGATAAATAAAGAGAAAAATGTAGGAGGAAACAACAAGAACAAGAAGCCAGAGTCATTTGTGACTCAGTCCTAGTAAGATGGCAAAGCTCAAAATAGAGACCTAGAATGACTCCCACTGGATATGTTCAGTCATATCCCAGACAGAATTCGCATTTCTCTTGAAACATAATACTGCATAACACAATATTTTATAATAAATATTTATAAATGTGGAAAGAATCTTATTTTTTCCATTTCTTTCTTTTCCATCTTACAAATTTACTGTTTAAAAATTCTTGCTACCTAACGTTTTCTGCTTATTGTGCTTTAGTATGCAACATCTTCTCCTGGATTCACTATGTTTTTTAAAAAATAGATTTTAAATATCTCTTTAAAGTATGAGCATTTTCCAAAAAATATTCCCAAAACATAGTATTTAACCAATTATTTGAAGAAGTATGTTGATTGCTTCATCCCTAACTCAGTGAGCAATACAATCTCCGGCATATTGAAGCTACTCTGACTAGTATTTGCCTATAAAACCTCCTAAATTACACTCTCCTATAAAACCATAATACAGACAATAACATTCGGGAAATTAACATTGATGCATTATTACCCTTTAATCCAAAGTTACCCTTAAGGTTTCACCAATCATCCTAAGGATGCTCTTAATAGAAAAATAATATAGTTCAAAACTGTATGTTGCGTTTTGTTGTTATGTCTCTTAGTTCACTTTATTCTAGACCAGTTCTTCTGACTTTTTTGAAGATTCAATCTTGTCACATTTAAATTGTACAGAACAATTATTTAGCAGCATGAACTAAACAAAATGTTTGTCAGATGGTTGTTCAGTTCATGATTAATACAAATTATACATCTTTGGAATATGACAGGCATGGCGCTGTGTTTCTATGTCTACATACTACTACAAAAGACACAATTTCAATTTATTCAATTATTAATGTCAAACACTTTGAATGCTTGATTAATGTCTGTGATGCTTCCACAATAAAAAGTTACTTTTTATCCCCACATTAATTATTTTGTGCAAGGTAATTTGTTTACTAGGACTCTGATACACACTTGGGCCATTGCCAACACCCCCATTGATATAGTTTGGATATTTGTCCCTCCCCAAATCTCATGTAGAAATGTAATCCCCAATGTTGGAGGTGGGGCCTGGCAAGAGGTGTTCGGATTATGGAGGCAGGTCCCTCATGGCTCTGTGCTATCTTCCTGATACTGATTTCTCATTAGATCTGGTCATTTAAAAGCATGTGGCACCTCCCACCCCATTCTTTCTCTCTAACTTCTATTTTCACCATGTGACATGCCTGCTCCCACTTTGTTTTCTGCCATGATTGGAAGATTCCTGAGGCGTCCTTAGAGCAGATGCCAGCACTGTGCTTCTTGTACAGCCTACAGAACTGTGAACCAATTAAACCTATTTTCTTTATAAATTATCCAGCTTCAGGTAGTTCTTTATGATGATGCAAGAATGGTCTAATACATGCAATGAATTATCTGTTTTCTGCCTCCCTGCCACTTGGATGCAGTCGACCTGTGAGTACATCAAAACTCTGTGCTATGACTTTTGCCCTCATGGACATCCTTCTCATTCTCTCATGCCCTATCAGACACCACTTCTGTGTAGATTCCTCCTCATGAAGTGTGGATTTTGATACCTCATGACAGGGCAACTCATGTATGGAAACTGAATCTGAGATAAAAGACTTTTGAAATATAGCTAGACCAATAGCTAGAGTGCCAGGTTATACACTCTAGTTTTCCAAGCCCTAATTCCCACAGGTAACTTGCGGGGCGGGAAGGATTTTAAAAATGCACATGTGATAGATGACCATATAGCAGAGGAACAAGGGTTGAGAGAACAGCCCTAATTGCATAAGCATCAAACACTGTAGAGAGCAGCAAATAAGCAAGACCTCGTCTGAGCGGTATTTAGAAGGTAGTTAGGCTCTGACTTGCCTGACTTACGTGGTCCAATCTCAATCGCTACAGAAACTACTCATTATCAGGAAACGGATAAGGATTGCGGTCTGGAGTGCTCAGAAAGAATGCGCCATCATGCTCAGAGCCCAAGGCAGACGACCTCTGCCAGCAATCACCTCAACATGCTTGGGTTCTGAAACTCCATACCAGGCCTTGCCCAGGATGTAGACTCTCGTGATTCAGCCCAGGCTCTGACACTCTATGGTAGGCAGGCCTTGCTTTCATTTGAGTGTCTTTTTCACCTAATTTGGCCTCCGACCCCTTTCCATGCCAATTCACCTTTTCACAAACATGCCTACTTTGCTCCGTCCCGCTTCATGGTATTGGGATTGATATTTCAATATAAAGAACAATAAAGGGGATTTGTGAGGAAAACATGGTAAAAAGTGAAGGGAATCAGATAAAGAATGAATAAGAAAAGGGAAAAAGGAATAGGAAAGAGGAAAGGAAAAAGAGAAAGAGGTCGAGAGAAGAGGAAAGAAAGAGAATGTGGTGGGAATAACTGTTTATATTTGTTTAGAATGGAGCTCTGGATAGATACGGCTTTGCACAATCTTGGCTAAACATATTTATTTTTTCTCTCCAAATTTTCCATATAGTGGTATGTGTTGTGTGTGTGTGTGTGTGTGTGTGTGTGTTGTGTATGTAGTAATAAGCTGACACATGTATTCCCCTCAGCAAAGATGCCAATTTCAAATTCCTTGTACTTGTGATTGCTACCGTATTTGGAAGAAGGGTCATTCCATTTTGCAGACATGATTAAGTTAAGGATTGTTTTGTTTTGTTTTGAGACGGAGTCTCGCTCTCTCTTGCCCAGGCTGGAGTGCAGTGGCGATCTCGATCTCGGCTCACTGCAAGCTCCGCCTCCCGGGTTCACGCCATTCTCCTGCCTCAGCCTCCCGAGTAGCTGGGACTACAGGCATCTGCAACCACGCCCGGCTAATTTTTTGTATTTTTAGTAGAGACGGGGTTTCACCTTGTTATCCAGGATGGTCTCGATCTCCTGGCCTCGTGATCCGCCCGCCCTGGTCTCCCAAAGTGCTGGGATTACAAGCGTGAGCCACCGCGCCCGGCCAAGTTAAGGATTTTGAAATGAGGAGATTATTTTAAATAACTCAGGTGGGACCTAAATGCCATCATAAATATCCTCATAAGAGAGGCAGAGAAATTAGATGTACAGAAGTGAAGCAGGTCATGTGAAGATGGAGGCAGAGATTGGTATAATACAACCCCAAACCCCAAGGAATGACCGAATCTACCAGAAGCTGGGAAATACAAGGTAATTATTCTCCCCAAGAGCCTCCATGGGGAGTGTGGCCCTCCCAACACTTCGACTTCACACTTCTGGCTTCTGGAACTGGGACGGAAAAAATTTCTGTTGCTTAAGCTGCTGTTTTTATAATAATTTGTTACAACAGCCCATATAGTTTACAGGGCTATTGTAAAAATTATTATATCATATATCACATACATGATAATTATATATACTCATACAGTTATAAAATATTATTATTTACAGTTTTACATAAATAATTATTGTCACTTAGCAAAAATGTATTGTTTGGTAATTGTTATCAAAATGTATTAATTGAAATCAGTGTTTTTTTTTTAAAGTCTTCAGCATTGCACACCCCTTCAACTTTATTAGGTTTCTACTTTGAAGGACACTTTACTATTTTCTTTGAAATCTGCTTTATTTAATGTGACAAGTTAGATGTATCCTATACAAAGATAAGTAATATTGCTTTACATTAACGAGGATACAGGGTGACATAAAGAGTCATAGGTAAATATGATGGGTACTTTAATTCTTAATAGAAGATTCTAATTCAGTCAAAAATATACTCCTACATAAAATATGTCTAACGTATGTGTGCTGGGGTGTGTATGTATGTCCACGAGTGCATGCATGTAGCTATTCTCAGATTGAAAAGGTTTTATCAGCAATCAATTACCAGGTTCTTAAAAGTATGTCCAACTTTCTAAGGTTGATTTCCAATTGCTGATAAACTAAAGAAATGAAAAATCTTATGTGCTCTCTTCTAAGCAATGACATCTTATAAAACTAAAACTTGTGAAATATAATAATTTGTTGATGTATCTTCAATTTATTTGAATTTTGATGAAATAAAATAGTCTGATAAGTTGGGGGACCACGTTTTGAATTCTTATAAAATAATTTGCTAGAGTTGTTCGTAATGCTATATATTCTTATATTTTAATTTGATAAAAAATGAGTCAATCTTTTTAAAATATTAGGTAAGCTTACCTTATATGCACCTAAAATGACAT
Source organism: Homo sapiens (assembly GCF_000001405.40). Lineage (NCBI taxonomy): Eukaryota > Metazoa > Chordata > Mammalia > Primates > Hominidae > Homo > Homo sapiens. The sequence goes on along the minus strand of NC_000013.11, from coordinate 82,630,913 downwards.
TAAATTTCACTTGTGTATTTATTTATTATCTCATCTGTTTATCCATCAAGAGATACCTACTACTGAGTAGATATTGAATCTTAGATGTTACAACAAAAATACCTAAAAAAATAAAAAAAGAGAAAAACAAATATTTTCTTTATAGCAGTCATATTTTTAAAAAAAGCTTGACATAACCTATGCAATTAACTTTCATGATATATTAACATAAATAAAGGAAAGGGAATACAAATAGTTGAAATTGAGACAGGCATAAAATTTTTGAATGGTCAGAAAAATCCTTCTTGGAAAAAGTGAGCTTTGAGTAAAGACCTAACTGAAGTCAAGATGGCATTTAAGGATATCTGAGGTCAGAGCAATGTGCAAGTGCAAGTAAAATATTGATGAATTTTATATAAATGCTTGGTTTTACACTCTGTTCAAAGTAATTTAACTGTTTTATTTCAAGTATTGAGCAATATTCTTCTCTTTTTAAAGGGAGTAACAAGGAACGATGAGAAACTCCTACAAAGTATACTAATTCTACTAAAACAAAAGCCATATTCTGATTTATTTTAAATCCTAGATTTACAACTATATGTCTATATTAATATTAATCCTTACATTGAGTATGCACTATAAAAATAGTTAATAAACATGGAAGCAAAAGGCTAAAATACAGTCTTAAGAGGCACCTAATGTGAAAAATTGACCTAAATTTAGTACATAATTGAGATTTGAATATATTAACATTATTTTCATGTTTAGTTCCCAATTATCCTCACATACACATAGATGATAATAATTTATTGTTTGTTCCTAGGTATTAATAATGTACTAAATATTATTGATGTTTAAATGGAAAATATTATTTAGATTTTTTTATCTCACATGAACTCATTACGGAGTTTTCTGAAGATTTATTTTAATAGGTATTTTATTATTATAATGATTACCGTCCTAAATTTATTTTTTTTTTAAATTACAGAAATGTATTGCTTTTCCTACATTTTTACACATTTGGGATACATTTAATTTGTTCAGGGACATAGATATCTTCACTTTCCTGATCATTTAGAGTTTTATTAACATTATCTATTTTGCAGGACTCTCTGTAACCAGTTTTCTGATCGTATGCCTTCTAAGTTTCTGACTAGAACACAATTTCTCATTACTAATGATTCAGTGTAGGTTCATGCATTTGTCTAGTTTTCTTTCCTGCTGCATTGATTGAAGTCTTGCACACTGGGAAGATGCTCCTTTCCTGCAGTCCTGCAGGGCTACTATTGAGTGGAGCTGTAATTCCTTGGTTATTCACTCGAGTGAATAGCAGAATAATGTGTGCAACTATGTGTAACTAAAGCCATTTTTTTTGGTAAAATTGGCCTACAGGTTATTATAAGTAAGAGCCCATAAAGCTACAGTTCTAGTCTACAAGAGTTGACAAATAAGTACGAGTAGGTGTCACAGGGTCTGATTTAGTTGCTTATCCAACTATTGGTACCATCAATACTTCATCACTTGCCTCCTTCTCATAGGCAGAGGCTACAGGGTGGAGTAAGTTGTCCTTCCTCTTGCAGAGGGTTTCTTGCTATGTGCTTTTGAAAACAAAATACACAAATGAAAGTCAAGGCAAGTACTTATGACCCTTATCTATGATCAGACTGTGTAACTATATAGTGTATGATTTTGCATTATTTGCATTCACAGGCTGGCATGTCATTGAATACTAAGACCTTATTTTAGTAATCGATACCTACATGTTGATATGTGTGTGTATACACACATATATGTATATATATGTGTGTATACACACATATATGTATATATATGTGTGTATACATACATATATGTATATATGTGTGTATACATACATATATGTATATGTGTGTGTATACATACATATATGTATGTGTGTGTATACATACATATATGTATATGTGTGTGTATACATACATATATGTGTGTGTGTATACATACATATATGTATATGTGTGTGTATACATACATATATGTATATGTGTGTGTATACATACATATATGTATATGTGTGTGTATACATACATATATGTATATGTGTGTGTATACATACATATATGTATGTGTGTGTATACATACATATATGTATATGTGTGTGTATACATACATATATGTATATGTGTGTGTATACATACATATATGTATATGTGTGTGTATACATACATATATGTATATGTGTGTGTATACATACATATATGTATATGTGTGTGTATACATACATATATGTATATATATGTGTGTGTATATATGTATTTATATGTGTAAATACTATATATGTAAAATATATAGTATTAAATATTAAATACTATATATGCAATACATACAAAATTGATATATACACATATACATTATGTATATGTGTATATATGTATATACAATGTATATACAATGTATATACAATGTATATACATATTAATGTATATATACATATATGTATTATGCATGTAATATATACATATTAATATATGCATATATACACTATGTATATGTGTATATATGTATATATGCAGGTATATACATTATATACATATTAATATATACATCTATACTATTTATTACTTAATACTATATATTTTACATATATAGTATTTCTATATGTTATATATAGTATATATGTTAGATATAGTATATATAGTATAATGTCTATACATATACTACATATAGTGTATATATGTCATATAGTATATATGTTAGATATAGTATATATAGTATGTCTATACATATACTACATATAGTGTAATGTATCTAGTTTGTGTGTGTGCGTGTGTGCATGTGTGTGTATTTAAAAGCCAAGAACCTAAAGAAGAAAAACCTCAAAGAGGTATTAGAGGTCTGGGACATATCAAGGTACCCTCTGCAAGAGGAAGGACAACTTACTCCGTCCTGCAACCTCTGCTTATGAGAAAGACCCAAGTGTTGAAACATATATATATAGTTAATTCATTTTGTTACCCAGTATTTTAATAATAGGCTTGTATTTTAATACTGACTTAGTTAGCCATATTTTTATTTATAGAACAATTTTTCTTCACCAAACCCTTATTCTCTGCCTCTTGTTTTTTTCAACTAAAAATCATTTTAGCTGTGACATATAAACATGTATATTAGGTATTGAAGAAATAGCTTTAATTCATTTAAATAAACTATTTAATGATGAGAATTTGTTGTATTTTCAAAGAGATGCTTTTTTAATAGTAGTATTTTATGTTTTAAAGATGTAGATATTTTCTGTAACTGCTCCCACTTTCATTTGCTTATGAAAAAAAATTGCTTAGCAAACAAAGTTCATCTACTTAGAAATACAATTCCATTTTTTTCTTTGTGTATAATAATCTCTAAGAGCCTGGTTGTTCACGTTCTTTGAGAACCAGATATATGATACTTTATTTACATAATAAAACAGTCATGAAAGCTAACCCTAGTGAGATTGTTATCAGCTGGGTGACTAGTACCAAGTTAAATAAAGGAACATAGTATTTAACATACTGTGTATAAATATACAAATCTATAAAAATGGATGGAAAATTGAGTCACCAGCAGTAATATGAAAACAATCATGACTCATTCTCCATGCTGAAATTGTGTTTGGTATAAATGGAAATATCAAGGATGTTGATATTAAAGTTCAGCACAAAGCAAACTGAGGTGGACATTTTTAGTCATCTCAAATTTTTGATGATTAATGCCATATAGAGAGATGAATACATGGAGCCCCCATTTCTCGTAAGATATTGGTGGTTTGGAATCTCTGAAGTTAAGTTATACAGCACCTGCCTATAAGCAAGGACAATTTATACCTATGTTAATTCATAGGACTCTATGAAAAATTGGTTTCTAATAAGTCAATGACATGAGTTATACACAATGTCAAATGATCATTTTTCACCTTAACATAAGTACAAGAGGCAAACTCTCTACCAAATTCTCCAAAGTTATGTGAGAGACCCCCAACTGGTATATTTTGGGAAGGGGGATCTCTAATATAGCTTGAATAAAAATACTAGATGGTACTAATATACCATTGAAGGAATGAAAAAAAGAATCCAGAACAGCAAACTACTATCCAGGAACCATATAAGATATTACAGATCAAAATGTATGTTCTTTCTGAAGTAACAACTTGAGTAGGCAGATAGATCTTATCCTTTCTACCCGTACTTTTTCTATATATTGGGGAAGTCTAGTGGGTCCTGGTATCAGTATTCAAAGCTATTAAAACAGATATAAAAATTATTTCCAAAATTCAAAGGAAAGTTGTCCTTTTAACAACTTTATTTTTAGTTGCATTACAAATAGAGAAAAACATATACATAAGTAGACAACCATTTGTATCACTTTTTAAGCTACACATATTTCAGTTATCCTGCAGGGCTGTATCACTGCAGAAATATTTTTATAAAAAGAATTGCTTTCTATAACATTTCTCTTCAAAATGAGATGAATGGACCAGGGCCAACCAGTCTAGGAGCTTGTTAGAAATGTATAATCTCAAGTCCTATCTTTGAATTATTGAACACAAATTGGCATTGTAGCAAATCTGCCAGTGATTAAAGAAGCAATGCTTTATACAAAATTAAACCTGATTTATTTAATATGTACCAATTAATCTTAGTCTGATATTTTCTCCTATGGCAAGGTTTAGTAAATGGCTCCAGTATGGGAAAATGTTATGTCCCAAAAAAAGCTACCTTATTCACTATATTTAATAAATAGAACAAATACTTTTTCAAGTGATTACTGAAGAAACTTGAAAAAGTGACTTTATCTTTTAATTATTATAATTCAGAAAAAAGAAATACAGTAACAGGTTAATCAAATTCAAGTCAGCAGAGATTGCAACTTCAGATGCCTTGAAATCTAGACGTGGCAAATCCTGTGTTTAGATGACTGACTCCAAACATTTTTTAAAACAAAATGTGCCTATGTGACATATGTGTCACCCAGTGTTTGACAAGAACATGAATTTAAAAGGCTGGATTATACAATACATGTTTTGATTGTCACATTATGGCTGCTTTAGCTAAAACTCACATAGCTGTTAAAAATTTTAATATGTATTATCCACTTTAGATAAAAGGCACTATATTTGGCAAGGGAAAAATAATATCAACATTCACAAAGTGTGAGCATTCAAAATAGGCCATGCGAAAGAAAAAATCTTCCACTTCGATTTCACTTTGACAGAAAAATTTCTGCTAGACTGTTTAAATTGGACATTTTATTTTCAAAGTAAGTCAATCAAAGAATAATAGATTCAAAGTTGTTAAAATATTTTATCTAATGCTAACGAGCACTGGAAAAACTATGCATTTTTCTCTTTTAAAATGATCAAAGAGAGGGATCTGTTTTTCTTTTTAGATACAAAATATAATATAAAATTCCTATTGGTATAAATGATCATGAAAGTCTTCAGTCCAGAGACTGTAGATGATCTAAAACAGTTGTTCAGCAAAGAAAATAAAATCACATGCGCGCGTAAACACAAACACACACACGCGCGCACACACACACACTCTCCTTCCTAGAGAGCTTTAGTTACACTGACTTCCATCATTAATGTGAATTGCTTTTAGTTTTGTTAAAAGTGAAAATAACATATAATACCCATTTTCATTGTGTTTACTAAAATTCCAAAACACTTTTATTGTTCTCATCAGTCCTTCCACTATTAAACAATATGTAGATTTCTCTAAATTTGGGATTGGAGTAAACACTTAGCCATCCTTCGGAAAGGATCAACTGTCTTCCTTTTTTGGGGTTATGATGTGTGTAAAATATTCCATCCACTAATAAGATTTATCTGTCTAATATTTATCTGCATGCCTAGGAAAAGACTTTAAAGGCAGTGTTAACACAAACAATAAATATTGGATGAATAATGAAAAGAATGAGTTTCTGAAATCAGGTTAACAACATAGTAAATTACAGAGATTATACCAGCTACACCAAGAAGAAAAACTAAAAACCCAATGAAATAGTTTGAATAATCAAATGAACAGGAATTAGAATCAGATGGCTAGGATATTAATCCCAACAATTTTTTTTTATCTTTTACCTTTGGCATTGAACAAAGAATTCTTATACTTCTTAACAGTGACAGATTGTGGTTTTAATGAAAACTGTTTAAATTAATATTTTAAAATTTTAAAATTAAAAAAAAGTACTGCTAATATATCATTGACACAGTAAGCTATATTTAAAGTGCTCAATTTGATGTGTTTTGAGATTCATGCTTCTGTGAAATCATAGTATCAGATATATACCCTTTACTGACTTTTTTTGATATATTATCTCATTTTGGGGATGAGTGAGAATGGGGTCTAGTTCTGTTTTCTTTTTATCACTCCTACTTTGGGTGGACATTAATAAATGAATTTGTGTATTCTACCTAGTATTTTAAAAATTTTAAGAATGTGTTTAATTATCTGGTAATACCCTATTTATCATTTTTGGAGTTGGCACAACTTCTGCTTAGATATTTACAGGGAATTATGTTTATTGAACATGTAAAGCTTTATAAATAATACCAACTAAGCCATAATTGTTGAGTTTACAAGGCATTTTAATGAAAACAAATAATAAAATAAATTTCTAAAAATAATTTCATCAAATCTCATTTCTACAGGTAAACAATTAATATTGGGTGAATTAAGAGATTTTTGAAATGATAAATGTTTCCTTTCTTATTTTGGCAAACCAAGACTAAAATACATCCTTCTCTACACTGATCCCAAAGTATTTTGAACTAAAGTGCAAGTGCATATGTTGTAACATTTTAAATTAAGTATAAGAAAATAGTGCTTTCCAATGTCTGACAACTACAGATGAACAATGCTTAAGTTTCAGAGAATTTAATTTTTCAATAGACATGTTTTAGATGTCTTCATAGTCAATGAACAAAAAATGCATAAATCTGAGTGTTTATGTGTTCATTTATTTTTGAATAATGTTAGCAATTTATTTTTAAAAGTAGATGGTTTAATTTCTCTTCAGTATTCAAATCAGAGGAAATGGAAACTAGAAAAAATAAATTAAGCTTTGAAAAAACAAACCATTTTACTTACGTTTGACTATTAAAAATAGATGATGATCTTCTTTATAACAATGTAATTGTAGTGTGCTTGTATACTAGAGAAGTGATGTGTATTTATTGTCATGTTTTGATTTTGTTTATATTAATTATTTAATTTAAAATTCATTGCAGTATGTGATTTTTTTGTTTCATCTTCTATTTACTTTCATATTAAGGTTTCTTAATTAAAGTAATTGATTAAAACCTTTTCAATTTACCTAAATTGGTTAGTTAAAAATAGCTGCATTTTAAAAAGTATACATACTTTTGATCTTATATTTTTAGATCATACTACAAAGTACAAAGTTATCTATAGTGACAAAAGGCAAATCAGACATTTTCAGAGGACAGGGGGTGCAGGAGAGCCAACAGAAAGGGGTTAAACAAGCGGATGTGGCAATATAGATATATTTTCTATCTTGCTTGAGATAACTGGTTTCACAAGCATATATATATAAGTGGGGCACTGTAAAAGAAATACAGTTGACTCTTGAACAACACAGATTTGAACTGTATGGGTCCATTTATATGAGACTTTTGTTTCCATCTTTGTCACCCCTGAGACAGCAGGACTAACCCCTTCTCTTCCTCCTCCTTCTCAGCCTAATCAACATTAAGATGAGGAGGATGAAGACCATTATGATGACCCACTTCCACTTAATGAACTGTAAATACATTTTCTTTTCTTTATGACTTTTTTAAACATTTTCTTTTATATAGCTCACTGTATTATAAGAATGCAGTATATAATATACATAACATAGAAAATATGCATTAATTGATTTTTTATGTTATCAAGAAGGCTTTCAGTAAATAATAAGATATTACTAGCTAAGTTTCTGGGGAGTCAGAGTTTTACATGATTTGTTGACTGTGCAGAGGCCAGTGCTCCAACTCTTGCATTGTTCAAGAGTCAACTATATTTTCAAGTTTTTGCAATTAGAACTTTTTTTCTGAACAAAGAAACTTAGGACCTTGGTTAAAGAACAAGCCTTGGAAGTTAACAAGGATTGAAAGCTAAAACTCTTGAGAAAATATAACCTTACATGTTTACCTTTTAAATGAGGATAAAACTTGGATGTTAGAAGTGGGAGCCCATCTTATCTCCTGCTCCCCACCCTCAAAAACTTTTACTTACACTCCAAACATTAAGAATAGAGGGACTCTTCCCTTTCTTCCCTAAGAGAATTTGCACAAACTAGGAAGATTGGATTGCCCCTCCTCTCTCAGCGGGTGAGAACAGGTATGTAAGCTGTCCTATATACGCTTTCAACTTTCTAATTTCAGGGCTCCTATCTTTTGGTATGACTCCCGCACATGCAAACCTGCCTCTCATCTCATCATCCTAGAATGGGAAAGAATGGTAGCAAGAGAGAACAATGTAATTACTGCTGTAATTCTTAATAATCTGCCTTTGCCCTGAAATCTTGCTTTTACTTTCACAATAATATAAAGATAGATATTTAAATTATCATTAAAAGTTATCAAATTGTTCATTTTAAAAGTATATTGTTCATTATACATCAATTATACTTCAATAAAAGTGTAAAATAACAAATTATTACAAATGTGAGTGTGATTTATTACTCACATTTTGGCCTAAGTAGAGAAAGCAGAAAATATAACCCATTGGATTTTTCAAGGCAATCTAAACAAAGCCAGCAAACCCACTGTAATACCAGTACTATATTGATATTTATCTTTAAATTTAATTATACTGTTCTCGTTGTAGAAAGTATAGCTCTTCCTTGGCTTCATTTGCTCTTGTATTTTCTAAGTGTGCTCTATCATTATTATTGGCGAAAAACTCATTTATGAAATGGAATTTTTCAAGAAATCCATTATTATCTGCTTTTCTTCTGTCCACCAATAAATATGCTATCATGGATTTTTAAACTAATTCAACTCGACACTTTGCCTAGATATGACCAGAGACAGGCACATTATTATAGTCATTTGTTCATTAAAAATTTATTGAGATGAGTAGAATTTCCAGGTAGCGTTAATAGTGTGCAATATATTTAGAGATTTTAAAAAATACAGTATTTATGTCTACCATACCCTCACAATTTATTGGAAGAATAACAAAGTGTATTATTCTTAGAAAAGAAAGTCATAGAATAATAAATTTTGGAGTGAATTTTGAGGCTGTCTAATCTCATTGCTTCATTTTTCAGGTAAGGAAACACTCCCATACATATTTCATGTATTTTTTGTATGTTCCTGGCACTGAGAAACAAAATTACTGGTGAAAAGGCAGTTAGAGTGGACTGAAAGAATGGCTGAGCAATATTTAGAAAACCTCACAAATAGATAGATAGCTCTCTAATTCATCCACAACAAGCACACCAACGTCATTCCCAAAGTAAAACAAAAACTACTCATCTCTATATTATGTTGTCAATGTTTCAGACTATTTGCTCATTTCTAATACCTATTCCTTCTTATTCCATTGTGATAGAATCCCTAAATATTATATGGACACATGGGTACCTGGAATAATGAATTATTTCTAGTCCCCCTTTGAGTCATTTCAGTTCACATTAACTAAATTTCAGTCAATGATATAGAAACACTGCACCTGAGGAGCTTCCTAAGCGTCTCTAGTATGCTCCTTTTAGCTTCTAACTAATTTTTTTCCCTTTTTCATTCTTGCTGTTTAGATTCTAGGTATACCATATTGGAATGAAAAAACAGTCTTGAACAATGAGTCAGGACTCAAAAATTGAAGTTGGTTGAGAAAAACATATCTATGTCTATCAGCATGGCTATGATGATCATGAGCCCACTATACCTGCAATAAAACTATTCACATGTGATTTTATGTAAGAAAGAAATACACTTCTGTAGAATATTTTGGATTTTGTGTCACTGTCAGCTTAATGTAACTTCAGACAGTACACAGTTTGGTATCTGGAAGTGGCTTGCTGCATGTAGAAAAATCTGAAAATTGTTTATTAGCTTATTAGAAGTGAACAGTCAATAGGCAGCAAAGAATTGGAGACAGAAAACTGGAAATCAAATAATTATTTCTATGATAAAGAAATGCCCCACCACCATCAACAACATATAATTAAAAATGACCATAGGAGCCATGATTTAAGCCAACCAAAGCTGTGGTTATGAGGAAATTACAGAAAAATATTTAGTTCTGACATGTATTAGCCAAATCCTGCCACTTCCAGAGAAATCCTATGAAAGAGATAAATTGGGGCTATATCTAGCTATAGTTCAAGCAAATAATGGAAGAGAGCACAGCCTTAGTAAAGAATGAATTTTCTTCCTATGAAACTGGAGAGTATTGTGCTAAATAAAATAAGCCAGGCACAGAAAGACAAATACTGCACAATCTCACTTATATGTCGAATCTAGAAAAGTCAAATTCATAGAGGTGTAGAGAAGGATGGTTATCAGAGGCTGAGAGGTGGGGATGAAAATAAAGAATTGTTGGTCAAAATTTCAGCTAAACAAGATGAATAAGCTTTGACATCTTTTGTACAGTAAGGTGACTATAGTCAATAATAACATATTCTATACTTCAAAATAAGCAAGATAGTAAATTTCAAACATCTCACCACAAAAAATGATAATTCTGGTGATGGGTATGTTAATTAGCTCAATTCACTCATTCCACCTTGTAATACGTATATCAAAACACCATATTGCACTATATAAACATATATGATTATGATTTGTCAGTTAAAATTAACATTACTTCCACGTTTTGGCAATTGCAAATTGTGCTGCTATAAACATGCGTGTACATGTATCTTTTTCACATAATGACTTCTTTTCTTCTGGATAGATACCCAGTAGGGGGATTGCCGGATCAAATTATAGTTCTGCTTTTAGTTCTTTCTAAGGAATCTCCGCACGGTTTTCCATAGTGGTTTTACTAGTTTACATTACCACGTTTAGCGTAGAAGTGTTACCTGTTCACCATATCCATGCCAACGTCTTTTATTTTTTTTTTTTTGGTTGTGGCCCTTCTCGTAGGAGGAAGATGGTATCTCATTGTGGTTTTGATTTGTATTTCCCTGGTGATTAGTGATGTTGAGCATTTTTTTCATATGCTTGTTGGCCATTTATATATCTTCTTTTGAGAATTGTCTATTGATGTTCTTAGCCCGCTTTTTGATTGGATTTTTTTTACTGTATGGTTTAATTATCTAACCAAATAATTATCTTCAAAAATGTACAAATGTCATTTTTCGATCTTGTACTTAACAAATGTTAAATAAATTGAAAATATGTTGATATGTTGATAGGATAGAATTGTATCCAATTATTAGAGTGTCATGTATCAGGGAGCTGCTTGAGGTGAGTGTTCAAGTTTCTGGTAAAACTGATGTGCTGTATATGATTTTCTATATGGCTCCAAAGCATTAGTGCAAATTCTGTCCAGAAGTCCCTGGTCCCTTTTTTCAATTCTTACCTGTTGATCAGTTTCACTTACCTAATCATTAATTTCCACCATCTCAGTCGCTTCTGGGGTAATAGGATAAATTGTCTACAATGGCCTAGATTTCAAAAAGAGAAAACCTAGTTTAAGTTACCTAAATTTTAGCCTTCAACCATTGCCGTCTTTTCTCTTAGTGCCCACATATCATGAGGAAAAGGAGACGAGCTAATGACCTACGCAGAGACAAAAATATTTTATATTTTTCCAAATAATTTATATCTACAGGAGGCAGTCAAAATGAAATTTAAATCTTTAGATTTAAATGTCATCAAAATAATTTTGGCTTGTGATCTGAAATTTAAATAATATACTTACATACATGGTGTGATAAATTTTTTATGTACATATTTGTAAATTAGTGAGGAAAATTTTTAAGAGATGGGAGGATCAGGACACCATCTCATTAACTGAATATATTAATTCATTATACTCTTTTAGAACAAACATACAGAAGATAACACTACTTAATCACAATGGGTGTAGGAGAAAGCAATTTGTAAAAAAGCTTAAGATCTTTACATCTACCCTTTGAAAAAGCTATTGTACTAGGATAGTGAAACACATCAAATTATGAGTCACTAGATCAATTTTCAATGTGACTTACTGTTTAGGGTTTCAAAATTCAATTATAAACTTATATACTCTTAAGATATCTTTCTTTTCACACTTGTGTGGCATAAAAACAAGTTACTTACTTTTTATGTGAAGAAAAACCGCAATGAAATTTTATGTTAGATATGATAGAAATTATTGATCGAAGCAAAGACTTACACTATTTCAAATGAATTGTTGCATAAAATATTCCACTCAATATAGACATGTAGTAATCAAGCACACAGCTAATAATAAGCAAATATAAAACAGACAGCTATATTCAGCAGTTGATAAACAATCTTCATAAAAAGTGTTGAATTGAGGAGCCTGGGAAAATGATGATATTATTGTATAAAAAGAATTTCAGCTTAGTCCAAAATAACAACCTGTTTGGAGATCAGAGTAATGTTAAATCTGTCAATCATTTTCTCCAAAATAATTTTATAAATATATAATTCTTCAGCCTTTACACTGAAAGACTTAATGTGAAAGATCAATGAAGTACATATCATCAATCTGTCTTGTTTTCTTGAATTTAGTTTATTGCTCATATTATCCTGGTATTCTAGACTAACTCTTTTAGTTTTCTTTACAACCAAATGACTGATTCAATTTCCGTTTTTTTTCTCCATTGGAAACTTCAGGTTTTCATGATAATTATTGTATAAAATCGTGAATTTTGGGTAAGATCAAACTAAGTAAATACTGATCTTAACAGTGGTAAACTTGCATAATGATTTAACTTTGAATCAGATTCTTCATGTAAAAAACGGGTGCAGTAATTCATATCTAGCATACATTTTAAAATAAAGGTTTATTGAAGTATAACATACATATGAAAAACTGCCTAAATAATAAGGGCCTGGCTCCATGAATGTTAATAAATTAATAATGTGAACTCATCCACGTAACTATGATTCAAATGGAGAAATAAGATATGAGCAACATTCCAGAAACCACCTTATGCCCCTGACAAGCCATTAACCTCCCTCGTCCCAAAGTGCAAATGCCATAATTATTTATAACACCTCTGATTAAACGTTGCCAACCTTGAACTTCTTGTATAGGCATCATCGTATACAGCAATTTTTACTTCCGGCTTCTTGCTTAACATTATCCTTAATTACTGTGGCTTAATGATAGTTCTTAATATGTTAGGTTAGATCTCTCACTTTGTTTTCCTTTTGCAAGCATGTCATGGCTATTTCTGACCCTCTCCATTTCCATATAATTTTTTCACATACATTTTTAATCCTCCTAAAATGGCTAGACTTTTTATTAGAATTGCATTGGATCTATAGATGAACTTAAGGAGAATTCACACCTCTAAATATATATTTCGAGATAGGAGTATTGTGCATTCTTCCATTAAATTAGATTTGCTATCCTTTGTCTCAACAATACTTTGTAGTTTAGTTTACTTATTTTGCACATCTTTTATTTAAATTATTCCTTTGCATTTGATGTATTTGATAAGACTATAAATTGCATTAAATTCCATATTCTTTTTTGTGCTGCAATAAAATAATATATATTATTTTTACATATTTACTTTGCATTTCTAAATATATCAGTGGATTACTATTTTGTCTATGACTGAAAACATTTTTACTTTAACATATTTAAATTCTTATACCTTTTCTCACTTTTTTATATCTTCTTGCCCTAATCCAGGTTTCTATTACACTGGTGAATGTAAGTTTTGAGAACAGGTATTGGCTTTTCATCCTGAATCTCAAACATGCATTATTTGACCCTTCGACATAATGTTTGCTATAGGTCATTTTTGTACTTTATCATGTAAAGTGGTTACTTTCTCCTACTAAGGACCCTTACCATCTCTTGCACCTAATGAACATGCTAAGTACCTTTATATTATATCAATTTCATAGGTAACATTAGTTGATGTGAATATTAAATTGAAATTTTAATACTGAAATTAATGCACTTTAGCTCATGGATATATTGAATTTTACTTAGTCACTAGATAAAGGTACCCATACTTTCTTTAGGTTGTTGGTATCAATATTCAAAGTGATATTGACCTTCAATTTCACTTCCTTGTAATGGCCCTGTAAGATTCTAGTATGTAGGTTTAATGATGTCATGGAATAAATTATTCGATATTTCTATAATATTGATGTAATTTATTCCTCAATTACATGGAATAACTCACTGCTAAGGCATCAAGCATGGTGTTTTCACTTTTAATGATAAATTTAAGTTATTTAATACTTTTGTGACTGTCTGTAATTTATATTTTTATGTCAGTTTCATAGATTGTAATTTTCTATCTTTATGTTTTATTAATATTTAAAGGTATTTTTATGAAAATATAGTGATATATTTTTATTTCTGATATAGATCTTCGTGTCTTCTTTTTTGGGGCACCATTTATCAATTCCACCTAAGGTTTTATTATAAATATAATTCTTTAGTATTAATAATACTAGTCTTTTCAGAAAACCAACTTTTAGGCTTTTACTCTATCGTATGCCCTATCACATTTATTTCCACTTTTATATTTATCAATTTACTCATTCTCTTTTCTTTGTGTTTAATTTTTAAATTCATGATCCAGATTTTTAGATTATTGATTTTGGGGCTTTGTTTTCTTCTATATGCACTTCAATATTAATTTATATATGTGAGTTTAGATGCTCCCAACAAGTTTTATATGGCATTTCTTAATTACTATTCAGTTAAAATAATTTGAAATTTAAATGACGTTTTTAGCCTATGGGAACATTACATGTGTACTGAATAATTTTCAAACTGAGAGGATTTATTAATAATCTGTATGGCTATCTATTTATTTATAGCTCAGTTCCACTATATTTGCAGAACATATGTTCGATGATGTCAGTACTTTGAAATTTGTTGATATTGTTTTACGGACCCACACATGGTCAGTTTTGATAAATATATAAAACATTTGGGCATATTCCATAAGCCCTTAAAAATAAATATTGTTTGCTCATTGTGAATACATTGCTCTTATTTTCTATGTATTTACTATTTTTTTAACATTTCACTGTATCAATTAACAGAATTATTTGTTGAAATTTTGCAATATGATGGTTGATTTATTTCTCTTTTTAGTTCTATTAAATATAGAGCTATTTAACTGCTAGTTCTAAAAAATTAAGACTACATTAACTCATAGTGCCTTTATTTTACCTCTTGGAATATTGTCACTTGTGATTTTATTTGATGAGCATTTTAAATTACATGATAAATATTTCAATATTCATTTATTGCTCAGTATTTATTTACATTTACTAACATGTTTTCCATTTTTATTAGTTGTTTTAATACCTTTTTCATTTTCATTGTTTTACATTTCTATTTCAACTGGAAGCACCTTTCTTGTCTCTGAAAAACATATCTTCATATGTTTTAGAATGTAAATTTGATGGTAGTTATTTCCTTTCACCACTTTAATTATGGAATGCCATTGTTTTTGTACTTTCACTGTTTCTGTTGAAAAGCTAAAGAATTATCTGTATGTACTCCTTTGACATTAATGTGTACTTTTCTCCTTTTGCTTTTACGATTTGTTTATCTTACTCTAGTTTTTCACAGTTTTACTAGAGGTTTCATGGGGCTGCTCTACAGGTCAGAATGCAGGCTCCTCCAAATATGGCTGCATTTGTGTTATTTTAATGTTTTCACACAGGATCATAGTTTTATGTTTTCACACAGGATCATGCATTATAGTTTATCTATATTCTTTTGTAAGGGATGGTTGATTTTTATCAATTCTATAAAATTACAAGAAATAGAACCTTCTTAAAGATTTTACTGACCAAAAATTAATTCACATGTATAAATTGAACAGAATCTCTAATAAAAGCAATAACAAAATTTTTCATGATTTAGACCAAAATGCATTGTTTAAATTTAAATGTTAACTCAATATAAATATAGACTTTATAATCATTTATTGTTATTAATATTAATTTTTAAATGTTATTTTAAATAAAAATTACAATTATCCTAACATTTTAAGGAGCTACTGATATGTGCTTAAGATAATGAGTTTATATGTTTATGGAAAAAAAATTGGTTATCAGATGAAAAATGATGGAAGAATTATAAAAGTAAAGTAAGAATTTCAATAACTGCAATAAGATGGGGTTTTGTTCTTATCACTGATATTAAGCTACTATTTGTCTTCACTAAAAGGAAAAAGTTTATCTTATTTAAGGTAGCAAGCAATATGCATTTATTTATTTATTTATTTATTTATTTATTTATTTTTAGAAACAAGGTCTCACTTTGTTGCCCAGGCTGAAGTGCAGTGGCATGGTCGTAATTTATTGCCTCCTCAAATTCCTGGGATGAAGAGATCCTCTTGCCTCAGCCTCCTGAGTAGCTGGGACAACAGACACGTACCACATGCTGTCCAATCTTCTTTTTAAATTTTTTTTCTAGAGGCTAGGTCTCACCATCTTGCCCAGGCTTGTCTTTGAACTCCTGGCCTCAAGCCATCTTCCCACCTCAGCCTCTCAGAAATGTTGATTTTAAATAACACTGACTTAAGATCCACATGCATTTTAAGTACATATTCAAAATGTTATTTTAAAACAAGACAAAATGTTTGTTTATTTACAAAGGGCATGAATAATTATTTGTGTGTTAAATGAATCTTTCTTGAAATTACAAATCAAAGACATTAAAGATAAAGAAATAAGACTGATATAAATGAGTTTGTTTAGTTGCCATAGAAATCCCGTTTTTGTGTTTTGAAGTTGATATAACGTGTAATTTATTAATGCAGTATTTGTAAAACTAATGGTAGAAATCGCAAGGTATAATTTTATGGATAGTCAGATAACAATTAAAGTATATAAACTGATATAACCACAAATTAGAACGTTTTTATTTTCAATGTATTTATTTACAGAAATTGTTTAATCAGTTTAACTTTTCTTTGAAATCAAAATACACGTAAAAAATTCAAAATATTTCTTCTTAGTGGTTATCATAATTCAGTAATCTAAAGATAATATCTAGAATAATTAACATGTAAGTTATCAACGAATACTTAGTCATGTCCAACATCAGAATCATGCTCACTGATGCAAATACAATGTATTTTATGCCACTGGATGAAGTAAGAGGAGAGAGAGAGAGAAAATAAGAGATACAGACAGACAGAGAGAAAGACAGGAAAAGAAGGAGAAGCAGCAGCAGGAGGAGGAGGCAGAGAAATAGGAGAAAATATCAAGCATTTATTTAATATCACTGACTCAGAGTATCAAATAGAATTCATTGCACAATAGAATATTAAAAAAAATAATAACTGCTGTCAGAATCCTAGTGGGCTAAATAAAAATAGATGTTAGTAAAATTTTGTTCTCATTCAAAAAAACTATAAAGTCAAATGTATTTGTTCTTATTTGGTTATTTAAATATTTCAAATACATGTACTTTTTTTATGCTGAAAATCCTAGCTGATTTTTCTTTAACTGTTCCCAGTTTGACTCCTACAACAATTCTATATTTATTGTTACTCCTACTCAATAAATTGGGCTAGCTTCCAAAGCATGTTTCTTTCCCGTTTATGTTTCAGTTCCTCGTGCTTCTAGTCATTAAATTTTCTTTATATATACATACATGTGAAAAACCATTTAGGGGTAGTGCATTATCACGATCTCTAAAATAATT
Source organism: Homo sapiens (assembly GCF_000001405.40). Classification (NCBI taxonomy): domain Eukaryota; kingdom Metazoa; phylum Chordata; class Mammalia; order Primates; family Hominidae; genus Homo; species Homo sapiens. Next base: position 82,613,094 of record NC_000013.11, on the reverse strand, counting down.
TTGAGTGCAAAAATAGCCAACTGTATTTCTTAATAGCAATTTTCAAGATAATATGCTATTTCCTTAAAAAATCAATAAATACAAGCTTTTGTACGTGGAAAGTTTAAATTAAATCTTTTTTGTTTTGTTTTTATTGTTTTAATTTGATCAGCAAATTATATGTGCATCTCTCATATTTGTATTAGCCATAGTTTCTTTGCATGTGACTCCACGGGAGAGAGAATAAACATGTTACCATTCAGCTCTGGTAATAATATTTTACTAGTATAAATGCAAGAGTGAACTCAAAAATATCCTGAGTATTTTGGATTGCTAGAACAGATATATTCATTGTTAATAATTAATGCAAAAAATTAAGGGTTTGTTATCATTATGTCCAGAAGTGTCCCAATAATTATGTAATATATTCACTGGTCATCCAGAACAAAGGCTGATATACTCCAGTCACCAGTTTTCTACTTTGAGTGGATAACTAGGCAGTAATTAAGGAAATAGCCATGAGAAGTTCATATATAAGTGAGATGATTAGAAGACATAATAGTTTAAAATCAATGTCACAGAAAAATAATATTAAGGACAAGTCATTTAATGAAGAGTTTTCACAAAGATTGTTCATAAAGACTAATTTGCCAAATTCACTTTCATCAAAATTAAAATGATTGTAAAATAATGGAAATAGTCTCAACTTTTAAAAGCATTTTTTGGTATCTTTTAATGTATTGTAATATGCAAACTTTTGCTTAAATCACTTCATTAAATAAAATTAAAATTGTATTTTATTTAGCAAAATTATAATTTAAAATGTGATAGTGTAATTTATTTTTATTTATTTATATTTTTGAGATGGAGTCTCACTCTGTTGCCCAGGCTGGAGAGCAGTGGCGCAATCTCAGCTCACTGCAAGCTCCACTTCCCAGGTTCATGCTGTTCTCCTGCCTCAGCTTCCCGAGTAGCTGGGACTAGGCACACTCCACCACACCTAGCTAATTTTTTTGTATTTTTAGTAAAGAGGGGGTTTCACCGTGTTAGCCAGGATGGTCTCGATCTCCTGACCTTGTGATCTGCCCACCTCAGCCTCCCAAGGTGCTGGGATTACAGGCGTGAGCCACCTTGCCCTGCCTATAGTGTAATTTTAATTAGTATAAATTAAGAATTTACATATTTATGTATTCCAAAATATTATTTGCCTCTATTCACAGTCCTTGGCTTATAATTCATCAAATTCTTCATTTCGTGTACTGGTTATTCTCCTAAAGGAATTGTACAATATAAATTGCTTAGCTTCAGTCTCTTCTTCAGAGAATTTTGACATAGAGCAGTGGCAGTAGCTAATTTTGTCTTGTAGAATGAAAGCCTTTAATGTTAGGCCCATTATGTAGCCACCACCTCTGCTACAATGACTACTCTAATTACTGGTGCATCACACAGGATCTTGAATGACAATGACAATGTCTGGAGAAATCATCTTGGTCATCTGGTTCACTAATATTCTTCTGCAGTAAATGCTTTCTTTAGGTATTTATATGTGATACAACAGACACATCCTGTATTCCCATTCCTGTATGTCTACCCATAAGCCTCTTTTCCAGGCTTCTAGGCCAACATTGATCTCCCAGTTTCTCTCATCTCTAATTACTAGCCAATATGCCAAACCAGTTGGCTTTATTCATGATTACATGCATATTTTTACTTTGAAGAATCTTTGTACATAAAGTGGATGACAATATATAGACCTCAAAGCAAACCAAAATCTTTTAGAAACATACGAAATTATAGTGTAGTTATTTTGTGGTAAAGGTCTAGTCATTCATCACTATACCAAGGTGACCAATCCATGTTTCCCTTTTTTCCACTATTGTAACAAATGCCCATGAGACAATATCTGTGAGCAAGTGGAGAGGTATCATTTCAGTGATGGTAGGTTACATATGGTCCTTGGGTGTGGAATATTTGTTAATGCTATTATGTATGTTCTCTGTACTTTATGAAGCCTAATTCCAGGTGAACAATATACATCTTAAGAGTGATTGGTGCTGTGCCCACCAAGCCCTATGACGTGACAGTTTTGATGTTACCACATTCGTGGTAGACAGTTATGGATAAATAGTCACTTGGTGTGGTGTCCCACAGTTATATATTGAGTCTCTACCAAGACTAAGTTTAATAGCAGGCACTGCTTTCATACGGTTTATAAGTCTCTGCAGCAACAATATAATTTTGTTCTAGGCCCCTAGGGTCATAAAGGCGACCCTTCTATTAGGACTTTTAAAAGACAACACCTGTTACAATTACCTGCCACAGAGAGCTTCATATCATGAGATCTTGTTCATATAGCAGGACCATATAGCAGGAGGGATTACAGAAGAGTTTGAAGAAAACTGATGAGATTAATGGATAAGGTCACGATCTTGATTGTGGTGATGTTTTTACAACAGTGTATATGTATATACATATATATATATACACATATGTACATTTTGCATATCTGAATACATAAATCTCTATTTTACTCCTTTACATAAATATAAATATATATGTATACAATATATGTGTATACATACATAATTTGCATATCTGAATATCTGAAGTTTGAGTATCTGAAGTTTGTTGTGATTAATTTTATTTCAATAAAGCTATTTTAAAAAATAGTTGATCAAAGTGGGTAAGGAAGGACTTCAGTAACCTCAATCAACAGGTAAACTAAATTATAGCTTGCAGGCCAATTATAATATTTTTAGTAGAATCAATATAGCCTGTAGAATGTAGACGGTGAGTATTTACATGGAAAAGACATTCTTGTTAATCCTGAATCATCGTAGACTGTCTACCATGCTTTGAAAAGTTACAAGAACATCTAGAATAGCTTCCAATGTATGTTTATTAGGTTTAACTAACCAAGCTTATCAAAATAACTGGCCATCAAAATGTTCGGTAAACTTTTGAATGAATATATGCCTTAAAATTATAATGTAGAGGACAGCAAAAGAGTTAAAATTGCTCTGAGTCAAGACTGAAATTGCTCACTTCTCTCTATCCATGAGGAGAAGGATTAACAAGAATGTTTTTCCCATGTAAATATCCACAGTCTACATTCTACAGGCTATACTGATTCTACTAAAAATATTATAATTCATCTGTGAGGTATAATTTAGTTTACCTGTTCATTGAGGTTACTGAAGTCCTCTTTATGCAGATATGCAAAGTGTATATGTGTGTGTGTGTGTATATGTATGTACATATACACTGTTGTAAAAACATCACCACAATCAAGATCTTGACCTTATTTTTATCCTCATCAGTTTTCTTCAAGCTCCTTTGTAATCCCTCCTTACCACCCCTGCTAATTCCCTGATCACAGGCAACCACAGATTTACTTTTTGTCACTATAGATGTTTAGAATGTTCAAAGTTTTATATAAATAGAATCACACAGCATGTGCTATTTATGCTTGGCTTCTTTCACTCAGCATATTTTTTTTGAAATCAATACACATTTTGCAAGTATTGATAATTCATTCCTTTGTATTGCTCAATAGTGTTCCATCATGTGCGTGTACTACAATGTGTTTATCCATTTACTTGTTGATGGGAATTTGGGCTTTGTGGTTTTCAGTTCTGGGCTGTTAAAAATAAAGTTGCTATGGACAGTTATTTATAATCCTTTTATGAAAATATGCAATCAAACATAAAAGTATGATTCTCTCCTGACTAAACATTATTAATAATGGTGTATTAACTACAACACTAATTATGAAAATTTGAATTTCACAGCCTGGAAAAGTTTATTATACATAAAATTAAGAGAGAAACCAATAATTTTCCATTTATATTGTTGAATTAGTTAGAAAGTTAAACCAGTAAAAATTGAAGATTTAAAGAAAAACTACCAGTTGTTATATTTCACATATCTTAAAAAATAATATTAGATAACAACAAATATACAACATATAATATCTCAAAATATGCAAAACTAAAAATTTATTTAAATTAAATGAATTCTCATTAACAATAAAATTAATACATTTTCTTATTTTTCCATAAATCACCAAAAAGCTCATGACAGACTAACAATGGCAAAAGAATTGGCTGGAATACCACTGACTTACAAGATGTATTTTATGTGCTTGCTAGAACAAAAAATACATAAATCTGTATGCTTTTTATTGGGGGAACTCGCCCCCAATATTTCAACGTAGGTTCTTTCTATTTTCCATAAGTGTCGGCCGGATGAGAAATAAAGAGAAAGAGTACAAACAGAGGAATTTTACAGCTGGGCCTCTGGGGGTGACATCACATATTGGCAGGACCATGATGCCCACCTGAGCTGCAAAACCAGCAAGTTTTTACTAAGGATTTCAAAAGGGGAGGGGGTGTAAGAACAGGGAGTAGGTCACAAAGATCACATGCTTCAAAGGGCAAAAAGGAGAACAAAGATCACATGCTTTTGAGGGAACAGGACAAGGGCAAAGCAGAACTACTGATAAGGGTTTATGTTCAGCTGTTCATGTATTGTCTTGATAAACGTCTTAAACAACAGAAAACAGGGTTCGAGAGCAGAGAACTGGTCTGACCTTAAATTTACCAGAGTGGGGTTTTTTCCCCACTGTAATAAACCTGAGGGTACTGTAGGAAACCAGGGTATATTTCAGTCCTTATCTCAACCACATAAGACAGACACTGTCAGAGTGGCTGTTTATAGACCTCCCCCCAGGAATGCATTCCTTCCCCAAGGTATTAATTATTAATATTCTTTGTTAGGAAAAGAATTTAGTGATATCTTCCCTACTTGCATGTCCGTTTATAGGCTCTCTGCAAGAAGAAAAATACGACTCTTTTTGCTCAACCCTGCAGGCAGTCAGACCTTATGGTTGTCTTCCCGTGTTCCCTAAAATCGCTGTTATTCTGTTCTTTTTCAAGGTGCACTGATTTCATATTGTTCAAACACACATTTTACAATCATTTTGTACAGTTAACACAATAGTGGTCTTGAGGTGACACACATCCTCAGCTTAGGAAGATAACAGGCTTAAGAGATTAAAGTAAGACAGGCATAAGAAATTATAAGAGTATTATTTGGGAACTGATAAATGTCCGTGAAATCTTCATAATTTATGTTCCTCTGTCACAGCTCCAGCCAGTCCCTCCGTTCAGGGTCCCTGACTTTCCACAACAGCTTTTATTCCTGCTTATTTTTCCCATTAAATCTACCACTTCCTCAGAGTGTATTTGTATACATGTCTGTGTATTTGTTGTGCATACATTATAGGCATACACATATATACACAGAATATACACATGAATATATATGCACACATACATGGTTTTCTATTCACATTTTTTACTCTTAGATTTGCTTACACTTTGCATTTATTCTCTATATTGTCTTATTCACATGCATAACTATGTGTATTGTTTAATATTTTTCATAGTTTTCCCATCACCCACATAGGTTTTTCTGACCCTTAATCATCAGTGCAATTTTAATCTATGCTTCTTTAACATTTTGCATTTCTGTACATATCAAAGAGAAAAACTAAAAATGCTTTGATAAAACATTTTCTCATATACACACCTGCTTTACAGATTAAAAGCCCCTGATATAAAAGCATGGATTATTTAAAAATTAACATTACTGGCTAGAAGAGAACTTAGAAAAATATAATATTTACCAAAGGGGTTTTCCCCAAAAGTCAGAAATGATTTATCATTAAATTAAAATTTTGGGAAACATTCTTTCATCTATTGTTATAGGTTGAATTGTGTCTCCCCACCAAAATTGTGAAGTCCTAATTGTTATTACCTCAGATTATGACCTTTTCTGTAAATAGAGTCATTAGAGATGAAATTACTTGCTCTAAGATAAAGTAACAATCAGTAAAATAGGCCCTTCATTCATTATAAGTGGTGTCCTTATACAAAGAAGAGAGAGAGACAAGACATATGGAGAAAACACCAGGTGATGATAAACACAGAGATTGGAGTGATGCAACTGAAAGCCAAGGAATGAGAAGAATCAATGGTGTGATGGTTAATATTGATTGTCAACTTGGTTGGATTGAAAGATGCAAAGTATTGTTCCTCGGTGTGTCTGTGAGGGTGTTGCCAAAGGAGATTAACATTTTTTGTCAGTGGACTGTGAAAGGCAGTCCTCAATTTGGGTGGGTCTGCCTTTCCCAGTTCACTGACTCAATGTAATCAGCTGCCAGCATGGCCAGAATAAAAGCAGGCAGAAGAACGTGAAAACACTAGACTGACTTAGTCTTGCAGCCTGCATGTTTCTCCTGTCCTGGATGCTTCCTGTTTTCAAACATTGGACTCCAAGTTCTTCAGCTTTTGGATGCTTGGACTTTCAACGACAGACTGAAGACTGCAGTATTGGCCTCCCTACTTTTGCGGTTTTGGGACTGGCTCCCTTGTTCCTCAGCTTGCAGAAGGCCTACTGTGGCCCTTTATATATACGTTTATCCCATTAGTTCTGTCCCTCTGGAGAACCCTGACTAATACAAATGGACACAATCAGAATCTAGAAAAAAGTAACATGAAATACCTAGAAATAAATTTAACCAAAGAAATGAAAGATCTCTATACTAAAAACTATGAAACATTGATGAAAAAATGAAAACACAAATTAATAGAAAGATATATACCAAGTTTATGGATTGAAAAAGAAATTAATGTTAAAATGCTCATGCTACCCAAAGCAGTCTACATATTCAATGCATCCTCTTTCTAAGTACTAATGACATTTTTCAGGAAAATAGAAAAAAGAATCCTAAAATGGGTATGGAACTACAAAAGACTCTGAATAACTAAAGCAATCTGGAGAAGAAAGAAAACTGCTAAAAGTATCATATGACCTGACTTCAAAATATACTACAAAGCTCTAGTTATGAAAACAGTATGGCACTAGCACAAAAACAAACACATAGATTTATAGAACAGAATAGAGAGCCCAGAAATAAATTGAGACATTGGCAGCCAACTGATTTTTGACAAAGGTGTCAAGAACACACAATGGGGAAAGAAGTGTCTCTTCGGTAAATGTTGTTGGGACAAATGGGTATGTGCCCACAGAAGAAAGAAATAAGCCTTATTTCATATCACAGATGGAAGTCAACTCAAAATGCATTAAAGACTTAAATGTAAAACCCCAAACTATGAAACAACTAGAACAAAACAGGGGAAAAGCTCCATAACTGGTCTGGGAATTGACATTCTGGATATGACCCCAAAAGCACAGGGAACAAAAGCAAAACTACACACACAGGATTACATTAAAGTAAAAATATTCTGCCCAGCAAAGGATATAATCAATAGAGTAAAAAGAAGACCTACAAAATGATAATAAATATTTGCAAACTATACATCTAATAAGGTGTTATTAAAAATATATGACCATTATGTGTTTATATCAAAATACTATATACACTTCATAAAAATATGCAACTGTTATGTATCTTTAAAAATTAAAAATAGGCCGGGCGCGGTGGCTCACGCCTGTAATCCCAGCACTTTGGGAGGCCGAGGCAGGCGGATCACGAGGTCAGGAGATCGAGACCATCCCGGCTAAAACGGTGAAACCCCATCTCTACTAAAAATACAAAAAATTAGCCGGGCGTAGTGGCGGGCGCCTGTAGTCCCAGCTACTTGGGAGGCTGAGGCAGGAGAATGGCGTGAACCCGGGAGGCGGAGCTTGCAGTGAGCCGAGGTCCCGCCACTGCACTCCAGCCTGGGCGACAGAGCGAGACTCCGTCTCAAAAAAAAAAAAAAAAATTAAAAATAAAAACCAATTTTTAAAAAGGCCATCAGTTTTATCAAAGTAGGGCCCACCACTATGGCCTCATTTAACTTTAATTATCTCCTAAAGATCCCATCTCTAATTGCAGTCACATTGGAGATTTGACTTAAGATACATTAACATAGGACTTTAGGGAGAGGGCACAATTCAGTCCATAGCAGAGAATAAATATAAACGTTTACTGGCACATATATATATACACACACACACAAACATACATATATATGTAAACACACATATATACATGTGTGTGTATATATACACACATATATACATGTGTGTGTATATATACACACACATAGATATGTAAACACATATATGTGTGTTTACACATATATGTATATATACATATGTGTGTTTACATATAGGTATATATGTATATATACATATGTGTGTTTACATATAGGTATATATGTGTATATACACACGTGTGTTTACATATAGGTATATGTGTGTATATACACACGTGTGTTTACATATAGGTATGTGTGTGTATATACACACGTGTGTTTACATATATGTATGTGTGTGTATATACACACGTGTGTTTACATATATGTGTGTGTATATACACACGTGTGTTTACATATATGTGTGTGTATATACACACGTGTGTTTACATATATGTATGTGTGTATACACACGTGTGTTTACATGTATGTATGTGTGTATATACACACGTGTGTTTACATGTATGTATGTGTGTATATACACACGTGTGTTTACATGTATGTATATATGTGTATATACACACGTGTGTTTACATATATGTATGTGTGTATACACACGTGTGTTTACATGTATGTATGTGTGTATATACACACGTGTGTTTACATGTATGTATGTGTGTATATACACACGTGTGTTTACATATATGTATATATGTGTATATACACACGTGTGTTTACATATATGTATATATGTGTATATACACATGTGTGTTTACATATATGTATATATGTGTATGTATATATGTATATACGTGTATGTATATATGTGTATGTATATATGTATATACATATATGTATACATGTGTACATATGTATATGTTTAATATGTATATGTATACATGTAAACATATTTATGCGTTTACATATGTAAACGTATATATAATTTTACATATATATGTATATATGTAAATGTATATGTATACGTATGAGTTTACATATATATGTATATATAGCATATATATGTATTTACATATATATGTGTGTATATATATAGCAGCCAAATAATAGCAATAAAACAAATAGCTGGATTTTAAAATAGGCAAAAGGCCTGAATAGACACTTTTCTAAAAAAGAAATACAAATGTCCAACAGCTATCTAGGTATAAGAAAATATGCTCAACATCACACATCAGGGAAATGAAATTAAATCCACAATGAGATATAACCTCATATCTGCTAGAATGGCTACCATGAAAATGATGAAAGATAACAAGTGTTGACATAAATGTGGAGAAAAGGGAGCCTTTGTATATTCTTGCTAAAAATGTAAATTAGGACAGCCATTATGAGAAAAAGTATAGGAGTTATTCAAAAATTTATAAAAAGAACTACTATATGATCCAATAATTTCACTACAGGATATATATCCAAAGAAAATGAAGTCAGGCTCTTCAAGAGATATCTACACTCCCATATTTATTGAATAATTTTTCACAATTGCCAAGATATGAAGTAAATCTGAATGTCCATCAGTGTGTCCATCAGCAGATACTTAGGTAAATAAATGTGATATGGATACACAGTGGAATACTATTTAGCCCTAAAAAAGGGAAATCTTGACCGAATGTGGTGGGTCATGCCTGTAGTCCCAGCACTCTGGGAGGCCGAGACAGGCAGATCACCAGAGGCCAGGAGTTCGAGACCAGCCTGGCCAATGTGGTGAAACCCCGTCTCCACTAAAAATGCAAAAATTAACTGGCTGTGGTGGTGGGTGCCTGTAATCCCAGCTACTTGGGAGGCTGAGGTGGGAGAATTGCTTGAACCCAGGAGATGGAGGTTGCAGTGAGCTGAGATCGCACCACCGTACTCCAGCCTAGGCAACAGAATGAGACTCCAGCTCAAAAATAAATAAATAAATAAATAAGGGAAATCTTGGCATTTGCAATAACATGGATAATCTGGAAGGACAGTATGTTCAGTGCAAGCCAGGCATAAAAAGACAAATACTGAATGACATCACTTGTATGTGGAATATAAATAGTTGAACTCACAAAAAAGAGAGAGTTGAAGGGTGCTTACCAGGGGCCAGAGAAAGAAGACAGAAGAGGGAGATGTTGGTCAAATAGTACAAAATTGCAGTTAGAAAGAATAAGGCCCAGGAAACAACATAGCAGCATGGTGACTGTAGTTAATAACAATGTGCTGTATATCTGAAAATTGCTAAGGGAGTAGATTTTAAATGTTCTTACCACCACTAGGCAATACATCCATATAACAAAATTGCTCTTGCACCCCTTTTACTTACACAAATTAAAAGATAAGTGAGGTGAGGTAAATGTTAATGAGTTTTAGTCATTCACAGTGCATACATATATAAATGCATCACATTGTACACCATGAAAAAATATGCTATTTTTTGTCAATTAAAAACAAAACAGAAAAAGACTGCAGCCTCAAATATTGCCTGTGTTTTCAGCCTGCTGGCCTGTCCTACAGATTTCAGATTTGTCAGCCCCCACATTCAAGTGAGCCAATTCATGAGTGTCAGAATCTATGAAACTATGACAGACTCAGTTGTTCATTTCAAAGCAGGGTAAAATACCATGTGGGCTCTCTACTCAAAGTATTTCTGATTTCTTCTTATATCTCTGGTCTAGATATAAACCTAATTATGCCACTAATATAGAAAATATGATTACATATTTTTAAATTTTGTAAAAGTCAAGAAAAGATTTCACAATGATTTGTTGAAATAAATTAACAAGGTAATCAGAAAGGGACAATTTAAAAATTATGTTCAATTTTATTCAAAAGCACGTTTTTACTGTTATTTATGAGGATAATGACCTTAATTTTGCCAGTTTATATTTGGCTGTGGAAGCACGTATATATAATAAGTGTTTGAGGGAAAATAAGAGAAAGCCAAAGTGTTTGACCTTTGAGCTATCCTGTAAGTTATTGATAAAAAATTAGTAAGTCAAATAATATGGTTTGGCTGTGTCCCCACCCCAATCTCATCTTGAATTATAGTTCCCATAATTCCCATGTGTTGTGGGAAGAACATGGTGGGAGATAATTAAATCATGGGGGCAGTTTCCTCCATACTGTTCCTATGGTAGTGAATAAGTCTCATGAGAAGTGATGGTCTTATAAGAGGTTTCCCCTTTTGCTTAGCTCTCATTCCCTCTCGTCTGCTGCCATGTAAGACGTGCCTTTTGCCTTCTGCCATGATTGTGAGGCTTTCCCAGTCATGTGGAGCTGTGAATCCATTAAATCTCTTTTTCTTTATAAATTACCCAGTCTCAGTATGTCTTTATCAGCAGTATGAAAACAAACTAATATATAAAATGTTTGAAATGACCAATGACAATCAAATGGGGGCTGTCTTAAATTTAACCAACATAGAAAAGTCTCTTTAGTACATTGATACAACTTAGTGGCATTTATAGTTTTTACAATAGAATAAACATGAAAGTAGGATTGGAGGTACAAAGGCATTGCCAAGTGTTTGGCCTAGAACTGAGTCATTTAAACTAAGACACTTTGTTACGTGGTAAATATAGTGATATTAAACAATTATTAAGGAATCAAACAAAAACAATCACTTATTTTTGTTTAGAAACCATTGTTTTGTTCCAAATTATTTTAAATACCTAAAGAAATAATATGTTGTCAACTCTAAGAAATGAAATCAAGTAATAGTACAGAAACATTTCAAAACAATGTTAATTGTTCCCTTCCTTGCTAAGGACTCTTCGGGACTAAGTATCTTAGGTGATGACCCTTCTAGATCTTATCCCCAAACCATTTTCCCCAACTCTTGCTACACCCCAATTTTCTAAGCAAAGGCCGCTAAACTGCGACCTAATCGTGTTGCTCCTACATCCTGTCCCATGATTAACACAAAATAAGATCACCTCATATCTTCTGAGAATTTGAATTGTGGACAATTCTCACAAGAAAACTGATGTTAAATATTGTGCACTGTATATGCCTCAGTGCTGTAGTGCTGCTATAGCAAAATACCTGAGATTGGGTAATTTATAAGGATTATAAACTTATTTCTCACAGTTCTGAAGCTGGAAGTCCAAGATCAAGACACTGACAGGTTTGGTGTCCGGTGAGAGCACAGTCCTGTGCTTCTGATACGATGCCTTGAATGCTGTGTTCTCTGGAAGGGATGGATGCTGTGTCCACAGAGGACAGAATGGTCTGGAGAGCAAAAGGAACAAAGGAGTGTTGATCCCACCCACCTCTTCTATAAAGTTGCTAATCTCATTCATGGGGGCTTTGCCTCATGACTTAGTCACACCCTAAAGGCCTCACCTCTTAATACTATCACACTGCAGATTAAGTTTCAACACATGAATTTTGGAATGCACAATCTGATTATATCAGTGTGTGTGTACATGTGGATATGTAGTCATATGTTTTTCTTTCCCTTTTTGTCAGTCTTGATTTTTTAAAACATGTACAGTCAATGGCCTTTGGATCTGATTTACCGCCTTTCAGGAATGATTATTGTTGCATACGATAAAATAATCTATACTTATTACTCCACTGTTACATAAGGCTTAATTTATACTTCTCTAGCATGCTATAGTGGGATACCCAGATAAGTGAAAATTAGAAATCCTAGACTCTACAGATTATGAGTCTTATTCCTTGTTGTTTAAAAAGAGTAATGAAATGATAGAGTATAAAAATTGTTTTTTTATAAAATATAAAGTTGCATACAATTATGTGCTACTATTATTACTGCTTTCTGTATAAACACTGACCTCAAAATGCTGTTTTAATAATGACAAAAGCATAAGAATGGATTTATAAAAACATCAACTAGATAATTTATTTTACTTGCTTAAAAAGTTGCCCCAGCCTTTCAAATAAGTGTCATTTTTGTTTATTTATTTGTTTATTTTACACATACATAAACAGGTAAAGAGTTTGACTTACATTCTTGGAACCAACATAAACAGATATTTGACATATTTATTTAAAATTTATGTGTGAGACATTTTATATTTCTGTTTAGACATTCCTTTAAGATCAACTCTAGTGAATACACAAATCTTTCTATATTCAAATTTTTGTTTCTGAAAAACTTGAATAAACAGCTTATTATTAGTAGCAATAACATGGGAACCCAGAAATTTTAAAGGATAGAATACTGTAGCGGTTAAAGACAACAACACATATGTTTTAAATACAGTAATTAAGTGAATGATAAGCATCAGTCACTGTAGGTGACAAGAAGCACAAGATAATACACTGTAATATTATTCAGCACTGTTGGTTTATAATCCTTTTTTATATGTATTATAGCAAACAAGAATTTTCCAAGTGTATAATTCTTAACCAAACAGCTTAGGCATTTCTCCAGGAAGTGAGTTGAGCAGATTGTGATGATTTGTAAAACAGAATCCCTGCTGAAACTAATTTGTACTTAAGACTCTTTTCAGGAAAAAAAGTTTTTCATTTATAATGTAATTGTATAAGGTAAAATTCAGTGATAATTGAATTTCACAAAATTGCCATTGATGAGTTACCAGGACATTTTTTGCAACACCATGCTCAACATGGTTTAATTTCAGGAAAGAATAGAAAAAGTTGTATTTTGCCCAGATAATTTTTATAGGCATATTACGTTATCTATTTTTTCTATATTTGGTCAAAGAATATACAATGAAAAAATCATTGAAATTGGGTCATTAATTACATTGCATAGTCCAACATTTTGAACAATTAAAAAGGTATTCCCCAAATTAATACCAAACTGATATCAGTTTATTTCTAGAAATGAATAGTGGGGACCTCAAAAGTCTTTCTTAATTAACATTACTTTTTTGCCAATAATCTTACAATCTTTAGTTTATCTGCAGAAATATGAATTGTTAAAAGAAATTGTTCTCCAACTTACTGAACTTACTGTGAAATATTCCTTAATAAGTACTTTTACTTAATAAGTAATTCATTTCAAAGGACTTCGTATAATTAGTAAGCATAGATAAAGCAGCAGAAAATTATATTTTCTTAAGTTCTTTTTCCCTATATTCATGTAATACTTTTATATATTTGGTTTAGCCCTAACATTGATGAAAATCAGACTATTCATGTCTAGCAACAAGCATGTAACTATAGCTTGAGTACTCTAGATTATGTTCTTAATATTGTGAACATGTTCTGTATTATATAGTATGGCAAAATCTGTTCATAACATATTAAATATCTCTCATCCTATAGTGGAATATCATTTATAGTATATATAAATGCTTGTATATATCCATATATGTGTATATAGTTATGGAAGGATGTGTGCTTATATATGTATATGTGTATATGTGTATGTATGTGTGTGTGTATGTGTGTATAATGGCAAATTATGATTGTTTTAAGAAACTTTTGGAACATATATGGAAAATAGTATTTCAGAATGCAAATCTCAGAGATTTTAAAAAATTAATATTGTACATATTGCATTTGCTGACCATAATTTAATGGAATAAGGAACCAGTAACAAAAGATAGCTAGAAAAATCTAATATCCTATAAGAACAAAAACTTTGTCAAATTAACAAATAAATATGCTGATTTTTGTTATGGACATTGACAAAGATGGTCTTAATTTTCCTCTTAGCTTGACTAAACTTTTAGACCAGTTACTTCCTGACAATAGGCCTCCGACCTCCCCTTCTTTTTTATTTTTAATTAATTAATTAATTAATTATTTTTTGAGACAGAGTCTCACTCTTGTTACCCAGGCTGGGATGCAATGGTGCAATCTTGTCTCACTGCGACCTCCGCCTCCTGGGTTCAAGCAATTCTCCTGCCTCAGCCTCCCGAGTAGCTGGGACTACAGGCATGCGCCACCACGTCTGGCTAATTTTTATATTTTTTAGTAGAGACGGAGTTTCACCACGTTGTCCAGGCTTGTCTCGAACTCCTGACCTCAGGTGATCCACCCACCTTGGCCTCCCAAAGTGCTGGGATTACAAGCGTGAGCCACCGCGGCCGGCTGATCTTCCCTTCTTTAGAGCACTTACTTTTGAAAACTCGCAATTGTAAATTTTTTCTCTTTCCCTTGGGGATGTAAATCTTCCCCCAGCCTCTTGCCAGTTTTGCTCAGGAATGTCTTTCTCAAAGACCCAGGAGCCATCTCTTTGAAATGTAATTATCATGAAGGATAGAGTCCCTATTTTCATTCTCTGTGGGAGGGTAGGATCCTAACTATGATAAATACCAATTAGCAAACACAGGTGGCCTATTCATATTAAACCAGGTTCTCCTTAACCTTCTCTTTCTCTGGTGCTTTTTCACTAACTCACTCTACTTACATACCGTTCATTTAGGAAAAAAAAAGTTTTCTTAAAAAATGTCTCTATTAATTCTTTATATAGACAACTCACTAACTCCATTTATTTGTTGTAGCAGTTAATCTGGGAAGGTTAGGGGAGAAATTTCTACATTTGCAATCATATATCTAAGAAAAACAGTTTTATTTATTTAATTTCTCTGTATTCTTTCTTTTTAAAAATTTCTTGGCTTTCTTGTCAAGTCATAACTTCCAAAACTGTCTTACAGAGACATGTATAATTTTTCACATGATATTTATTCAAAAGTACTCTTATGAATCAAATTAAGAGAGTTCCATTTCATTTTCTATTTACTATGCCTTTTATCAAATGTTTGTTGGCACGTTATTGGGATAAGCAAGAAATTTTTCTAATTCAACTCATGTAATTAATTATACTGATTGATAATTTTTCAAATGTTTAACTACATTTTCATACCTATAAAATCTCCACTTTAGTTGAATTTATTATCTCTTAATGTATTTATTTTTCCTTTATGCATAATATTTTATATATTTGGGGGTTACATGTGAGCATAGAATGTGGAATGATCAACTTAGGGTATTTGGCGTATGCATCACCTTAAATATTTACCATTTCTAAGTATCACTTCCATGGGTTGGTAACATTTTTAAGTCCTCTCTTCCAGCTACTTAGAAATATAAAATACAGTGTTACCAACTATGGTCACCCTAGTCTACTATAGAACATTACAAGTTATTTCTTTTATCTAACTATCAATGTGTACCCATTCACCAAATTTCATTTATTTCCCCCTCTCACCCTCACACCCTTCCCAGACTCTGGTGTCTATCATTCTATCTCTATTTTCATGTCATAAAGATTTTTAGCTCTCACATAAGAGTAAGGGTATGTGGTATTTGTTTTTTTGTGTATAGGCTATCTCACTTAACATAATGATCTCCAGTTCCAGCTATGTTGCTTCAAGTGGCATAATTTTATTCTTTTTATGACTAAATGATATTTTATTTTGTACACATACCACATTTTCTTTGTCCATTTGTTCATTGTTGGTCACTTAGGTTAATTCCTATATTTTTGCTGTTATGAATAGTGCTGTGACAAACATGTGAGTGCAGGTATCCATCTGAAATACTAATTTATTTTCCTTTGCATGGATACCCAGTAGTGGGATTGCTGGATCATATGGCAATTCTATTTTTAGTTTTTTAAAGAAAATGTCATGTTATTTTTTATATTGGTTATACTACATACAATCCTGCCAACAGTGAATAAGGGTTTCCTTTTCTCCATATCCTCACTAGCATCTGTTATTTTTTGTCTTTTATTAATAGCCATTCTAACTGGGGTAAGGTAAAATTTCATTTTGGTTTTGATGCATTCCCTCGTTGCTTAGTGATGTTGATTATATTTTCACATACCTGTTGGCCATTTGTATGTCTTCTTTTGAGAAATGTCTATTCATATCAAAAGGTTGACTCTTTACTGTTTTTCTTTCTTGTTTTATTTTGTTTATTGCTGTACAGATAATTTTTAGTTTAATATAGTCCAATATGTTTTATTTTTGGTGTCTGCTTTTAAGGACTTTCCCATAAAACCTTTAACCTAAACCAATGTCTTGGAGTGTTTTTCCTATGTTTCCTTTTAGTAATTTGATAGTTTGGGGTCTCCTGTTTAACTCTTAATTCATCTTGAGTTGCTTTTTGTATATGATGAGAAATAGAGATTCAGTTTCATTCTTCTGCATGTGAATATCCAATTTTCCTGGCACCGTTACTGAAAAAGGTGTCGATTCCCCCAGTGTATTTTCTTGGTGCTTTTGTCAAAAATCAGTTGGTGATAAATATGTAGATTTATTGCTGTGTGCTCTATTCTGTTCCATTAATCTATGTGTCTGTTTGTATACCAATACCATTCTGTTTTGGTTTCTATAGCCTTGTAATATATTTTGACATCGGGTAATGTGAAGCGTCCAGCTTTCTTATTTTTGCTCAGAATTGCTTTGGCTATTATGGCTCTTTTTTGCTTCCATACGAATTTTAGTATTTTTTTTCTGTGTCTGTGAAAAATAACATTGGTGTTTTGATCAGGATTGCATCAAATCTGTAGACGGCTTTTGGCAGTGTAGTCATTTTACTGATATTAATCTTTCCTATTTGTGAGCATGAGACATCTTTCCATTTTTCTTCTCTTCAGTTTACTTCATCAATGCACTGTAGTATTCATATTTCTGTAGATCTTCACGTACTTGGTTAACTTTATTCATAAATATTTTGTTTTATTTTGTAGCTATTTTAAACAGCATTTTCTTCTTGACTTATTTTTCTGCTATTTCAATATCGATGCATAAAAACACTACTGTTATTTGTATGATAATTTTGTACACTACACATTTACTGAATTTGCTTATCAGCTTTAACAGTTTTAGGTGACGTCTTTGGTTTTTTCTAAATATAAGATCATATCACCTCCAAAAAAAAGAAACAATTTGACTTCCTCTTTTCTAATTTAAATTTCTTTCGTTACTTTTCTGGCCTAATTGCTCTAGCTAAGACTTCCAGTAGTATGTTGATTAGGAATGGTGAAAGTAGGTATCCTTGTCTTGTTCCAGTTCTGAGAGAAGAAGCTTGTAATTTTTCCCTATTTAGTATGATGTTAGCTGTTGGTTTGTCATAAATGGTGTTTATTATTTTGAGATATATTTCTTCTATATCTAGTTTGTTGAGAGTTTTCATATGAAGGGATTTTGAATTTTATCAAATGCCTTTTCTGTGTCTATTGAGATGACTGTAAGGTTTTTATTTTTCATTCTGTTAAAGTGGTATATTACATGTATGGATTTGTATATGTTAAAACATCCTTGAATCCCTTGAGGAAATGTCATTTGATCATGCATGATCCATTAACTTTTATATTTGCTCTTGAATTCTGTTTGCTAATATTTTGTTGTGAATTTTTGGTTAGTCAAGCTAGCAGTTTATTAATTTTATCTTTTCAAAGAAGCAACTTTTAATTTCATTGGTTATTTGTACTGTTTTTTAGATCTCTATTTCATTTAGTTCTGCTGTGATCTTTATTATTTCTTTTTTTCTGTTAATTTTGGATTGGTTTGTTTTTGCTTTTCTAGTTCACTGAGGTACATTGTTAGATTGTTTATTCAAAATCTTTCTGTGTTTTTCATGTAGCATTTATTGCTACAAATTTCCCTCTTAGTACTGCTTTTGCTGCATCTCACAGGTTTTGAAGTTGTGTTTCCATTTTCATTTGTTTCAAGAAAAGTTTTGAGTTCCATTTTAATTTCTCCATTGACTTAGTGGTTATTCAGAAGCTTCTGATTTAATTTCTATGTTTTGGAAAGTTTCCAAAGTTCCTCTTGATAATGGTTTTTATGTTTATTTTTAGTTTTATTCAATTTTGGTCTGAGAAGGTTAATATAATATCAATGTTTAAAAAGTGCTCAAAAATTGTTTTTTGGCCTAACATACAATCTATTCTGGAGAATGTTCCACGTACTGAAGAGAAGAATGTGTATCTGTAGTTGTTGGATAAAATGTTTAGTTAATATCTCTTGGATCAATTGGTCTAAAGTCAAGTTTAAATCCAATGTTTCTTCATTGATATTCTGTCTACGTGATCTGTCTAATGCTGAGAGTGAGGTGTTGAAGTCCCCCACTATTACCGTACTGGAGTCTATCTCTCTTTATATCTAGTAATATTTGCTTTATGAATCTGGGTGCTTCATGTTGGATGCATGCATACTTAGAATTGTTATATTATCTTGCTGAATTCCTTTTTAATTATATAATGGTGTTCTTTGTCTTTTTTATTTTACAGTTTTTGGCTTAAAGTCTGTATTATCTGATGTAAATATAGCCACTCCCACTCACTTTTAGTTTTTGTGTAAAATATTTGTTTCATTCCTTTACTTTCGGTCTGTATGTGTTTTCACAAGTAAAGTTCATTTCTTGTAGAGAGCATATGGTTGGATTATGGTTTCTCATCTACTCAGAACATTTATACCTTTTAAGTAGAGAATTTAATCCATTTATGTTGAAAGTTATTACTTACACAGAAACTTTTGTTCCTTTGATATTGTTCATTATTTTCTGGGTTTTTTTGTCACATTCTTTCTTTCTTTTTCTTTCTCTTTTCTTTTATTGTTTGTTATTGTGGTTTGGTGCTCTCCTACAGTGGCATTATTTATTTCATTTCTCTTTCTTTTTATTATTTTGTTTAATTTGTATCTTACTGGGTTATTTCAAAACAACTGTCAAGTTCTGAGATTATTTCTTGTAATTGACCTAGTCTATTGTTAAGGTTTTCAAATGTATTTTATATTTTACTCAAGGAATTTTCGCAGTCAGCATTTTTGTTTCCTTCTTTTTTATGGTATCTGTATCTTTGGTAAATTTCTCATTCATATTCTGAATTATTTTTCAAATTTGTTTGCATACTTTTTCAGAATTCTTTTATATTTCACTGAGTTTCTTTAGAATTAATGATTTGAATGATTTTCCCTCCATTTTGTGAGTTTGTTTTGATTAGAATCTGTTGCTGGAGAATTACTGAGTTCCTTGGAGTTGCCATAATTCTTTGATTTTTATGTTTCCTTTGTCCTTATGGTGATATGTGTGTATCCAGTGTAACACTTGCTTTCTCCCCTTTTCTGAATTTTGCTTTCCTAAGTGAAAAATGTTTCCTTATTATTAATCTATGGTGTTGGTTCCATAGGGTACTTTGAGTTTGATTCTGAATGCATGCAATAGTTTAATCTCTGGATAACTTCTTTGGCTGTCAGTGGCATTAGTGGTATCTATGATTTCCTCAATGGTTAGAGTTCAGTTATTAGTGGAAGCTGTGGTGCAGGTTTTCTGGGAAGTGGGACACCCAGGTAGGCTAGTCTTCAGGCCACAGTGGTGGGACTAGTGGGCTGATCATGGCTGTCTTTCTGCCCCAGGGTGGCACACACCATCACCAGTAGTGGGGCCAGGCAGGCCAATCCTTGGACCTTCAGGTGGCTTACACCGATGCTGATAATTGCAGCAGTGGGCCAGGCAGATGGAACGTTTCTCAGGACCGTGGGCAGATGGCGTGCAGTGGCTGTGGCATAAAGGCCCTTTGGGTTCCAAGCCGTGTACACAGGTATTGGCAGTGTCTGTGAATGGCTATGCAGGCAAGTCTTCAGGCCTGCAGGTGGTATATGCAGCTAGATGCCTTCTATGGTAATAGTGGCTGAGTTGGTAGGCTCAGTCTCAGACTCCTGAGAGTAAAGTTCAGGTATCAGTGGTGGTGGACTTGGCTGGGCAATCACCTGGCTCCCACTAGGGTCTAGGATTGTAGGAATTCATGGTGGAAATCTCAACTGTTGTGGGTCTCTCACTTACCCACAACAGGGGTAAGTGTCAAACTTACTCTGGGGGTGAGTGTCAAACCAGGACAGACTGACATGTCTTTAGGTCCCCTGATGGTGTGTACGGGTGCTGGCTGTGAGAGGTGGAGGTGGGATGATTCTCAGGCCACTGGAAGTGTTCTTGGGTCAGAGGCAGCAGCATGGCTGGGGTCTGCCACTTGGGCAAGCAATGCCACCTTCAGTGATGGCAGCCTAGGCTAAGAGTACAGAGTGCATGCACCATTCACACCTCAGTCCTCGTGGCTCTCACACCCAGATGCAGTAGCCATGGTCACTCACACCTGAACCCCAGGTCTAGCAGCTTGTGTTTCTCAGCACCTCAGTCCCAGCACCACAGGACTCCAGTACAGTGTACAGCATGTTGGATGTGACATTCTAAAAAGGCACCTTGCTGAAGCTGTTTAGGTCTCAGGGAATACATGGAACCCAGGGCAAGCTTTCTTCCTTGGGCAACGTCATCACAGATTCTCCTGGCAGCTCCTTATATAAGGTTCAGGGCCTGCAAGGGTCAAAGTGCTCTCCCATGTCTAGGATTGTAGAAATTCATGGTGGAAATGTCAACTGTTGTGGGTCTCTCGCTTACCATTTCCTTATACCTGGGAGTCTCCCTCAACTCAGCCCATCTCAGCCAGGGAGGCACCCTTACCTGATTTTCTTTCCTTGTTTTAAGTATTCTCTGTCACTTTTTTGTTGTTGTTGAATTCCAGTGTTCCCTCTTGTATGATCTATTCAAAGTGTCTCTATCCCTTTATATATGTCATTTTATTTTGTTTTATAATAATTTGTTTTCAAATTTTGCCTTTACAATATGGATTGGTCTAAAATTATTTTTTCTTGTAATGACCTTGTTAAGTATTACAATTGTAATAATGTTGACTTTGTAGAAAAGTTTCCAGTTGGGTGCAGTTGCTCAAGCCTGTAATCCCAGCACTTTGGGAGGCCGAGGTGGGGAGACTTCTTGAGGTCAGGAGTTCAAGACCAGCCTGGCCAACGTAGTGAAACCCCATCTCTACTAAAAATACAAAAAATAGCCAGGCATATTGGCTTGTGCCTGTAATACCAGCTACTTGGGAGGCTGAGGCAGGAGAATTGCTTGAACCTGGGAGGTGGAGGTTTCACTGAGCTGAGATCGTGCCACTACACTCCAGCCTGGGTGAAGAAGCGAGACTGTAAAAAAAAAAAAGTTTCTGGTATTTTTAATTTCCTGGTACATTTTGTGTGATAACAGTGCTATTGTTTTTCTTAAATGTATTTGATAGTTCTCTGGTTAATTCACCAGGGCCTGGCATTTCCTTGGTGTTAATAATTTCAATTGTAAAAATTATCTATTTAAGCGATGTGGGACTATTTCCATTTTCTATTCTTATTTTTTTCCAGTGACTTGGCCATTTCCTCTACAATTTGTTGTTTATTAAATATTGTTATGAGAGCTTATTGTCACAAAGATGTTTATAAAGTACTTATCCAAAAATTTAGAAGGCAATATTAATTATCTCTTTAATCTTGATTTATTACTTTATTCTTTCTTGTGAGACAACACATTTTCTTTATTTCAGTTTTTTGGTATTTGTTTAGACTTATTTTATGGGTCAAAAAATGATTACTTTGTGAACAATTCCATATGCACATCAAATAATATATATCTTGCTCTTTGGGGTTTGATGTTTAATAGACATTCTTTAGATCTATTTTATTATGCATGTTTTCCAAATCTATATGCTTTATGATTACCTGCATGTACTACTACTTATACACTGACTTATATTACAATATCACAATGGTTTGTGTGAATTCATCTATTTAGCCTTTTCTTTCTCTATCTTTATATAATGTAGGTATTCTTTCAGGTATAGAAATATTTTAAATTATTGTATCATTTCATTGGATTTCATTCCTGATTATTGCAAAATTTGCATATTTGTTTCCCATAGCATTTGCTCTAAGTTATTTTCAGATATCAATCAGCTTGTTTTGGTCAGTCTCATTGTGTATATACACTTATATAATATATAAATTTTTCTGTTTTCTTACATTTAATGTTTCTGTATTCTTACAATAGTGCTTTAATATTATGTGGTGATTGCATTTCTATTTATAGCACCTCATTGAAAGTTCTCAATTTTTTGACCTTTATTTTTGTCCTTCAATATTTTTAAGATGATGTTTTGGTTTTGAAATTTAGTTGTTTCACAATTTGTCCACCATTTTTATTGTTTTTAATTCACACTTATGGAAAACTAGAATTTTTTTCTCTCTTCAATTCAATCCAACATGCATCTATGCCCTACTATCCCAATAAAATATCCCTTCTCTTGTAACAAGTGACTTCTAGATTTTTACTCCAAAGACCAACTTTTAATATGCCTAAATTTTGATAGCTCACCACTATTTGAAATAATTGATGTCTTTGTTTCATGAAAATCTGTCTTTTAGTTTTCATGACATCTTAACCTCTCTATTTGGGCCACTAATCAATTAACATTTTATTATTTTCACTTAGCTCTTTCATACCTCAAATCAAGTCAAACAATCCATATTTGTGACGATTATGTTTACTAAGATGACATATATTTAATATAATATTGGACTATAATCTCATTGACGGCAGCTGTATTAGTCCATTGCTATGCTGTTAATAAAGACATGCCTGAGACTGGGTAATTTACAAATGAAAGAGGTTAAACTGACTCACAGTTCCACATGGCTGGGGAGGCTTCACAATCATGGTGGCAGGCAAGGAGGAACAAAGTCATGTCTTACATGGAGGCAGGCAAAAGAGAGTGTGTAGGAAAACTCCCCTTTATAAAACCATCAGATCTCATGAAACTTGTTCACTATTACAAGAACAGCATGGGAAATACCCCCCCCACCCCATGATTCAATTACCTCGCACCGGGTTTTTCCCATGACATGTAGAAATTATGGGAGCTACAATTCAAGATGAGGTTTGGGTGGGGACACAGCCAAACCATATCAACAACATCATTGGCTCTTTGGGATACCATCCTATATAAATGTCAGATGAATATATATAGTGTTACATTTTATGTTAACAATACTCAAATCAAGGTACTCAACCTCAGATTGTCTAATTAATTTAATTAGATTATCTAATTATTAAGTGTCAAGTCAGATTCTAAACTCTGTTCTGAATTAAATTCAGGGCAAACTCTCAAAATCTCTTCTACATCTTGATACTTTCATAACTGGACAGTGCTGTTGTAAGTGAGAACAAATGAAAAAAAATAAATGGAGAAAGAACAGAATAAATAAAAAGAGAAAGACCAGCTAATCCAAAAGCCAATATATAGAACCTTGCATAAAGTAGAGAACGTGGAAGAGTCAGGAACAAATAAACATTCTTTAATTCATTTTTTTCCACAAATGAAGTGTTTACCTCAGTTATAAAGAAATAAGATAACACATTTAAAAAGCCAGAAGAAGGCCAGGCGCGGTGGTTCACCCCTGTAATCCCAGCACTTTGGGAGGCTAAGGCAGGCAGATCACGAGGTCAAGAGATAGAGACCATCTTGACCAACATGGTGAAACTCGTTTCTACTAAAATACAAAAAATTAGCTGAGTGTGGTGGCAGCGCATACCTGTAGTCCCAGCTACTCGGGAGGCTGGGGCAGGAGAATGGCTTGAACCCGGGAGGCGGAGGTTGCAGTGAGCCGAGATTGCACCACTGCACTCCAGCTTGGTGACAGAGCAAAACTCCATCTCAAATAAATAAATAAATAAATAATTAAAAAATAAAGCTACAAGAAGATGAATGGTTATAAATTGTAATGCTTCTATACACATTATGTCAGACTGAGTAACTAAATCACTGAATTGTATTGCTATTTCTTTTTAAGAGATTGATCTATGATATAAAATAAAACTATCAAAACAATAGAACATTAATCATATTAATAACAATCACAGATTTAATTTTAGGTCTTACTGGAATATTTGAAGAAAAAAGTAATCCTTTTGCTGGTTTTTCTCTTCAACATTCCTCCAAACACATTTTGAAAAAATTCACTCATTAGAATAAATTTTCTTGTGCTTGAAGCTATTCTCAAGTTAACAGAATTCTAGTATCAGAAGTTTGGTGTCAATTCTAAATAATAACATAAAAATATTTCAGCCATAACTATTTAACAAGATATTGTAAAGGAAATGTTGAAAAATAGAAAAGCTCAAAACAGCAAAAAAAAATATCTCTCTTTTTACATATAGTCTATATATTTACAGACTGTATACATTTATGTAGACTGTTCTTTTCTCATTTATGTTTGCAATATCTGAAGTTAAATATTAATCTTGTAGTCTCCCTATCTTTCTTCTTTCTTTAACTTTTTTATCTTATTATCACACACTTAAACATACACAACTATGCATTTGCTTTAAATATTTGAGGATATTAATTAAGGCTGACTGCTAAGCTCACCTTAGTTTATATCTAGCATTATAATGCTATTGATAATTTCCAAATCATTTACATTTATAAATGCTTGTAAAATACTCAAGAGATAAATTCTCAATTATACTCAGTAATGAGAATGAACCATACAAGTTTATGTTGCCCTAGAAATGACAAAATCCCAGTTGTCATGAGCCTACATTTTATTTTGTAAATCATACATATATGTGTTTATTAGTAAAACTAAATACAGTTTTTAAAACGTTTCATCTGAAATATATCTATAAGGAAACAACAATATGGAAGGGAAGTCACTGGACTAGGATCATGAAGTGTTTTCTAGAAATAACTTTGATATTATTTATTGTCATAACGTTTGCTGATTCATTTAACCTTGATGAAACAGTCTCCTTAGCTTTTACCTACACCAGATGGTCTCCTTAGCTTTTCTTTTTGACATATACTATTCCAGATAAGAGTAATCTAAGTGTTCATTGTTTTATACATATAATCCACATTTATTTTTCAGTTACACATCAAAATAGGTGCTCAGATTTTGCTCTCAGTCACATATTTTCAAATGAGTGCCCTTGTCTTCTGGAAAGGAAGTAAAGATCTAACAGAAATCTGCCTTGAAAATGAGAGTGATCTATAAAGGGAAAGCAGACATGCATAATTATAACTATAAATTATAATAATAAACACTTTAAAAAATAAGTGCCAAAACTTACTTTTAATTTGCTACTGTTTCTCAAGTCGACAAAATGTTAAACTCTCATTTTCCTCTTCTAAGCTAATAGAAATCATTATTCTCCAGTCTCGCCTGTAGTTTAGAAGATCCATATAATTGAGATTAGCCAGTGGAATGTAAGGAGAAGGAGTGTAAGTCATTTCACACCATGGCAATTAAAACCTGTGTGCCTAACCCATGTTGTCTCTCCTCCAGGCTTTGAACTGTGAGCAAAGGCTTCATGTGACAAAACCATTAATGGGGGAACTCACATCCCTGAGGAACTGCCAGGGACAGCCAAGGACTTACTTTTTACTGTGATATGAGTGAGAAGTAAACTTATTCCATAAAGACAAACTTGCTCTTCATTTCAAAGTAGGCATAAAAAAGTAAAATATAAAAGTACCTAAGGAATACAGTCAATGAAAATTAACATAGGGAAAAACCCTGCTTGGAATTCTACTCTAACATTGAGGCGATATGTACTTTATTCTGCACAACTCTTTGAGATTTTTAGGTGAGGAAAGATCATTTTGTTGTTTTTTTCTTTGTTTTTATTTTTTAAATATAGTGTTTGCTGTACTTCCAACACTTTTTTAAAAACTCCATATTATTTTCTATTCTTCTGTGTAATTTCTTGGGGTCCTTCAAATAGTTTCCCACCATCGATATTCATTCTTATAATAGTATGCTGTAAATTTTGTATTGATATGAAATTGAGACTGCCATTTGATGGAGAAGTGAATGGGTATATCCACTGTCGACATATAATTGGATAGTTTTATGGAGAGGGATTTTTTGTTTGTTTGTTTCCATAAGAAAGAATGGGAGCTGTATTACTTACCCATGTTATTGGGAGTCCTACATAAATACACACTTAGTAGGTTGGCTATGGAGTTATTTGCTACCTGGAACTACTCACTCCAATTGACAAAATTACACCTAGTTTCTTATTCTTGCTGTCATTTTCTCATTCAAATTTTGAATGTGGTAGCCATTTCTGTAATAGAATTGTATTTTGTCAGTAAGAAAAAGCCCTATGAATATCATATTATTTATAATAGATAATTATAAAACTAATAGTTCCATTTTTAAAGCAAAACAAGTTATTTAAAAGCAAAAATATGTATGCCCACCATGAGGGCTGAATAAAGCGTCTTAGGTGACACATCTATGTCATAAATATTTGCTACATAAAAGATTGAATGACGATCCAATTTAAGTAATCTATTAACTGGTTAGACCACTCAGCCACTGCTGCCTCTATTATTTTATTTTAGACATTTCTCCACAGTACAGGCAAGTAAATAAATCTGTCCCTCCCAAGTTTAAAGTGCACACATATTTTTCAGTTTTCCTCAAGTAGAGGTGGAAATATTTACATCATATGCAAGTCCTGCAGTCTTTTCCCTGTGGATACCTCAATTCTTCAGCCTCTCTTTACTCTCATGCTCTCCCTGCAGCAACCACATTAGCCTTTCCATCATCACCCATTACTAGTCGTTTTAATTATGGGTTTTTCCTTAAAAAACACTTTTTCTTTTATCTCTGACTACTCAAACTTATTCTTTAAATACCATCATGATAAAATTAATTTCCTAAAATAGCTATTCTGGAATTCTCTCTTTGATTTATAATATTACATGGTCTTTGCACATTGCTTTATCACACTCATCATATTAACTTTTCTTTTTTTTCTGATTCATTCAT
This sequence comes from Homo sapiens, assembly GCF_000001405.40. Taxonomy (NCBI): domain Eukaryota; kingdom Metazoa; phylum Chordata; class Mammalia; order Primates; family Hominidae; genus Homo; species Homo sapiens. The sequence goes on along the minus strand of NC_000013.11, from coordinate 82,585,535 downwards.
CAGGTATTATCAGCATTTACCCTTCATTAATATGTAAAATACTGTGTGTGTGTGTAAGAGAGAGAGAGAGGATTATAAGAATTTATTGAGTAACAGAAATATAGACAAAACCTGAGACAGATCTACCTCTATAAACAATAACAAGAATAGCTACATTTTACCCATAGTCCTAATTTATTATAATTTAAATAATTTATTATAATAAAATAAAATAATTTATTATCATTTAAATACTGTGACTTAAACGTTAACATACATTTCTCTTTGTGCAGAAAAAGTGTAACATTTTGCCCAACATAATGAAAAAGTATAAAAATGTTTTATCATTACAAATTGTAAATATTTTATTATATTATTATTTATTCTTTATGCTAGTTATACATTGTTTTATATCATTCTATTTAATAAATATTTAAAATACATGCATTCTATTATTTATGAAATTATATAAGGCAGAAAATAGAAAAAGAGAAAGGAAAAGGTGACGTTAAAAAGCAAATTATTATTTTTTTATTTTTTCCCCCATTTTAAGATCATAGTTAGAAAGTTTCTGATGTCTTGAAAATTAAAAAGAAAAAAGAAAAAACAACTGAGGGTTAATGGTAAAAATTCAGTAATTCTGCAAAAATATATAATATGTCTGGATTTTCTACCTAAAAAATACTGAAAGGTCTAGAATTATATTAAAACACTAATACTAAGCATAATGAATGTCATTCTATAAACCCTATATATAATGTAATCCAATAAAAACACAATATATTCAAATCATTTCTGGTGAAAGTGTGAAATTTCAGACAACCTAGATATAATATATCTTGCAGCTAGTCTATCAACTGCCATAGATACATTTATTATTATTCTATCATTACATATAATTCATAACAACTTCTCAGGCTAGGAAACCATGCAACAATTAAAAAGTAAATTGAAACTAATTTTTTTTTCTTTCTTTCCTTTTTTTTTTTATTTTTTTGAGACAGAGTCTCCCTCTGTCGTCCAGGCTGGAGTGCAGTGGCACAACCATGGCTCACTGCAACCTCCACCTCCAGAGTTCAAGCAATTCTCCTGCCTCAGCCTCCTTAGTAGCTGGGATTACAGGTGCGCATCACCAGGCCTGGCTAATTTCTGTATTTTTAGTAGAGACGGTGTTTCACCATGTTGGTCAGGCTGGTCTCGAACACCTGATCTTGTGATCAGCCCACCTCAGCCACCCAAAGTGCTGGGATTACAGGCATGAGCCACCGTGCCTGGCCATTCTATTTCTTAATTTGCGCTACTCAGACCCAGTATTTGAAGTATCATTTTCAGCACTTTCCTTATTCTTATGGTCTGATGTTGAACCTCTTTCTTGAGAACTTATTGATTTTTTTCTTCCAGCCCCATATTACATTAATATAGTACTCCTCCTTCACTTCCTTCTGCTTCCTAGATACATAAGCTCAGATATCAAAATTTTACTTTGATTCTCTCAAGGCAAAAGGGGCGCAATATCCAGGAAACCAGAAGTTTCTTTAGTAAACAGAACAAACTTAAACAAATAGTATTGAATTGAATCCAGGCTTGGATATTTCCATGCCTTTTAGTTACTGTGAAGATAGATATCACTTTGCCCAGGAGAGTTGCAGTAATAGTATATTTTGGGGAAAAATATAATAGAATGCGTAGAACAGAATTAGTAGGGAGACCAAATGAAAAATTATGTTAGTAGTCCAAGAAAGAGTAGGTTGCCATCAGTTGAAGCAAAAAGAAATTAATATATAATTGGGAGGAAAGTGCAAGACTTTATAGTATGAATTTGGATGCAGAGATGAGGAAGGGGAACTGTCATGGCAGATTCCCTCCTGTTTAGTAACTAGCTGGACAGTAGTACCAGTTACTGAGAGAACTAGAACCAGGGGATGAGTATGTGTAGGTAGAGGAAGGAGAAGTGTAGTAATAAAGAGATAAGCAAATGCTGAAATGCATGTGGAATGAAGGAGTTGGTTTAAAAATGAAAGATATCAGAATAAGTGTGTATTTGTATGGAAATGTCTAGAAGAGAGAAAGAGAGGGAGTGTTAATACAATATATTCAGGGAAGGGATAACTTAAATATCGTCATTATCATAGAAAACGTTATATTTTAAAGGTAAGAAAAGAGTTAAATTTAACAAGGGTCAATTTAGGGAATTTTCATTCACTCTTTCTCTCTTGTTTTTTTTCTCTCTTTCTTAGCTGTTCTCTATTCAGTATTAATTCAGCAATAAGGAAAATGTATAAAGAGGTCCAAGACCTCAGAATTGGAACAGACAAATCAGAAACCAAGAATAAGAAAAACTGAGGCAGACAAAACATAATTTTCTTGTATGCATTATGTTCAAGTATATGCATGAACATAATGCATACAAGATAATGATGTGTTTACAAAAAGGTAAACTTAATTAAAATCTTCTGAGTTCAAATGTAAAAAGCCCAGGTAGTTATTCCATTTTACTGTAGCAATTTAAATTGTTATATTCCCCCTTTTATTAATATCTCATCTTCATGAATCTGACCTTTGAAAAAAAGTATACAAAAGTGGATTTCTTGTTATTGGGTGGGAACTGAATAAAATGTGAATTAGTTATGCTAATAATTTTACAAGTATTCTCTTTATTTTGGTCTTCTTTTTTACTAATGTACCAGAGACCATTTCTACTGAAGGTTATGTTGCCAGTTTTATATTATGTACTTTGTGCTGTGCAAAAGTAGACTCTGGAGAGCATACTGAGGTTCTAATATCTGTTTAGTATTCACATTTATGTTTCTAGTAGTAAAAATAGAAAGAAGCATAAAATGTTCATTAGAGTAGTGGGAACTGAAGTTATCTTTGTTTCTTATCAAAGAACACAAAATTCACAACTTATATTTAATTCGGTCCACTTTTAAGATTAAAGGGACACTATTATTAGTCATATTGGGACAATTAGCATTAATTAAGAATCTCCTGAACAAAAGGCCATCTATCTTTAAAGTAATGGAAAGGCATTGAAATCTCCTAGATCCGAATTCAATACTATCTGAACAAGTTATACCTGGGGGCTTTCAAATAGGCTTGTGGGAGAAAATACAGAAAGTCCAATTAAACCTGAACTTCAACTAAACAATAAGTAATTTTTTTGTGAGTTTGCCCCAAATATTGCATAAGCATACTAGGAAACCCTAATTGAATATCTGAAATTCAAACTTAGTTGTGTGTGTTGGATTTTTATTTACTATATTTTTCAAAACTATTACAAGAAATCTCAGGAAAATATTTTGTGTCGATATAGTTTGCATTCATGTGAAATACGGAACAAGAAATAGTCAATGGCATTTTGACTGACATTTTGGTATGATTTATATCATGAATAGTTATAAGTTAACTATTAGAATCAAAACTAAAAACTCATTAGCAATAACATTTTCCTAAGAATTCAATTCCTTAAGAATTCAATTCTTCCATTCACTTGTTTTATTACATGTTCTCTGCATTACTGCATTCTTATAAATTCATAGCATAAGATAGGTCTTAATTATGACCAAAAAATGGGCAGATTCAGTGAGTACCAACAAAACATGCTATATTAATATTCTGAAATATCCTATTTCAGATAAATGTGTTTCTAGAAATACCTCCTAGACATGAGTGTCTTTTTTATTATTTGAATTATATGTTTCATAATTATGTGGCATTAATTCAAGCAGTCTTAATAAAACATTAACAGATCATTTGATCCTAATGTTCTGAGATGTGCCAAGCCTAACTAATTTGGTTAGGGATCCCACGCTGTTCAACGAAATACAGATTTTATATATTCTACCAATAATATAAAAATAACTTTTAAAAATCCAAAGAATAGAGATATAAAATTAATAATAATGAAGAATGAAGTCATAGGATTTTGGATGTAGCCTACCTTATTTTGTCCCCCAAAATTTTTCAGACCTTGAAAACAATGTATCCTTATTTGATTAATTCTAAAGTCTTTTCTGTCTTGAGAACAGGCCACATGCATAAGAAACTTTGATTAATCCACATGATTTAACTGTTTCAAGGTTGTTTTTTAAATATTCCGCTAGCAAGGCTAGTGGACTAACCTTACTCTTTCATATTGTGGAATCTCAAATTATTCAAACTGCTAAGATGAATTTAGAAAAAACTCAGTCTCAGCAAATTTACCTTATTCTATTAGAGAAAATTTTCACTGGCAAAGTCTGTTTTATAAGAATTAATATAGAAATAATTCCAGATCAATTTGTATGATTAAATAGAGTGCGAAGACAACTATAATTGCCATAAACAGAGAAGCCACATTACTTAATATTGCCTTATTATTGATATAATGTGTCAAAAAATACTGCCTGAACTTTGTGTTAAACATGCATTTTAAAAAATAGAATCATGTATGAATCAATATATTTATTTAGCAAGCTTAGATAGAGACTGTCTCTTTAAGAAAGATTATTTGGGATGATGTGCTTAACTATTTTCTGTGTGCTAAATTATCATGGGGGAATCTACAAAGTTCAGATAAGAAGAAATTATTTTGACTCTCTAGTCTGTTTTTGTTTAATTTAGTTAAACAAAACTAGTCTTTTTGTTTTTGTTTTAGTTTAGTTAAAAAAATTAAAGAGCAACTAAAATTAAATTATCAAAAAGGTCTTATATAAGTGTGCATTATAACATGATTTATTTAATAATAAATACTGGACCAGTGTAAGGCTATTTTACAGAGAACCTTACTTCATTTTCTCATTAAAAGTGACATGGTAAAACTCTGCTCCGGGAAAAAAATACGCTTCTTATTTAATTACGCTTCTTATTTAATATAAAACCAGCTATATATAATAAAAACCAACTATGTTTTTATATTTATTTATTATTTCTTACACTAAAATGTCTATTGAGCCCAGATGCCTCCCTGACATCACTAGAATGCAAACTGCACCTGTGCCCTTCGCCACTGGCACGCTTGTGCATGTCTGAGCATAGTTCCTGCTACCGTCACCTTGATGAAGCATTTTGACACCACCCCCACCAAAGTATTGTTACCAGTGGACTAGAAACACCTTGGCCCCTCCAGTGCAGTGGGGTCTTAACTTCTAAGAGCCAGAGAACAGAGCCGTGGGATAGATCCCAGCTCCCCAGGTTTGGAGCATGCAGTCCAAGAGTGCTGTACTAAGCCTTGGCTACCTGAAATAATTGAGAAACGAAACCAGTTCATTGATTCCAACTTGTACCATAGTCAAACTCTCAAGAACACCAAAGAATATAAAAGCAAAAAGCACCATCTAAAGGACAGCAACTTCAAAGTTTAAAGGAACATCAGTCCACACAGATGAGAAAGATCCAGTGCAAAAACTCTGGCAACTCTAAAAGGCAGTCTCTTCTTACCTCCAAAAGACTGCACTAGTTCCCCATTAATGCTTCTTAAATAAGCTGAAATAACAGACACAGAATACAGAATCTAAATGAAAATGAAGACCATTGAGATTTGGAAGAAATTTGAAGGAATCTATGAAATCCAGTAAGACCAAACCACTTTAATAACAGCAAAAATACTGATCTGATAGAACTGAAACACTCACTAAAATAATTTTATAATATAGTCATAGATGTTAACAGCATAATAAGCCAAGCTGAGGAAAGAATCTCAGAGCTTGAAGACCAGTTATTTGAATCAACACAGTCGAACAACGATAAAGAAAAAAGAAACAACAAATGAACACAACATACAAGAAATATAATGTTATGTAAAGAGGTTCTACCTATGACTCATTGGCATCCCTGAAAGACAGTAAGAGAGAGCAAGCAACTTGGAAAACATGTTTGAAAATATTATCCATGAAAATTTACCCAAACTCAACAGAAAAAAATGACATACAAATTCAGGAAATTCAGAAAGCTTTTTTAAGATACCATATAAGATGATCATTCCCAAGACACATAGTTATCAGATTCTCCAAAGTGGATGCGAAAGAAAAAATATTGAAGGCAATTAGACAGAAAGAGCAGATCACCTCCAAAGGGAACATCATCATGCAAATGATGGACCTTTTAGCAGAAAATCTACAAGATCAAAAAGATAAGGGCCTATATTTATCATCATTAAAGAAAAGACATTCCATGAATATCATATTCAGCCAAACTAGGATTCATAAACAAAGGAGATATAAAATTATTTTAGGTAAGCAAATTCCAAGGGAAGTTGTTATAAGACCTTCCTTGTAGGAGGTCCTTAAGGGAATGCTAAACATAGAAATGAAAGACTATTAATGGCCACCACAAAAACACACTTAAGTGCATAGACCATTGACACTATAAAGCAACTGCACAATCAAGTCTACATGAGAACCAGCTAACAGCACAATGACAGGATCAAATCCCTATATATTGATATTAACCTTGAATATAAACGAGCTAAATACCACATTTAAAAGGAACAGAGTAGCAAGTTGAATAAAGAAAGAAGACTCAACTCTATGCATCCTTCAAGAGGCCCCTCTCACATTCAATGCCATCCATAAGCTAAAGGTAAAAGGTTCGAGAAAATGTATAAAGCAAACAAAAAACAACAACAAAAAGCAGGGGTTGCTGTTCTTATATCAGAGAAGACAGACCTTAAACCAACAACAATAAAAAAAAACACAAAAGGTCATTACATAAGGATAAAGGATTCAATTCAACAAGAAGATTTAATTATCCTAAATATATATAATCCACCCAACACTGGAGCACCTAGACTCATAAAGTAAGTTCTTAGAGACCTACAAAGAGACTTACATAAACACACAATAATAGTGGGGGACTTCAACAGCCCATTGACAATAGTAGACATAATCATTGAGGCAGAAAACTAACAAAAATATTTGGGACCTGGAGTAGAAAACTTGACTAAATGGACCTAACAAACATCTACAGAACACTCCACTCAACTATAACGGAATATATGTTCTTCTAATTTGCACTTAGGACATAGTCTAAAATCGAAAACACACTTGGCTATAAAGCAATTCTCAACAAATTAAAAACAAATAAACCAATTATACTCTCAGGCCACAGAACAATGAAAACAGAAATCAATAGCAAGACGATCTCTCAAAACCATACAATTACATGAAAATTAAACAACCTTGTCCTAGATGACTTTTGGGTAAAATACGAAATTAAGACACAAATCAAGAAACTCTTTGAAGCTAATTAAAACAAAAATACAAAATAACAGAATCTCTGGGACACAGCTAAAGCAGTGTTAAGAGGAAAGTTTATACTGCTTAAAGCCTACATCAGAAAGTTAGAAAGCTTTCAAATTAACAACTTAAGTAATACCCAGAGGAACTGGAAACAAGAGCAAACCAACCCCAAGGCTAGCAGTAGAAAAGAAATAGTGAAAATCAGAGCTGAACTGAATGAAATCGAGACACAAAAATCCACACAAAAGATCAACAAAACCAAAAGTTGGTTTTTTGAAAGAATAAATTATATTGATAGACTGCTACTTAGACAAATAAAAAGAGAGGATCCAAATAATTACAATTAGAAATGACAAAGGGAATAGTACCGCTGACCCCATAGAAATACAAATTGCCATCAGAGAATATTATAGACACCCCTCTGCATAAAAAACTAGAAAACTTAGAAGAAATGAGTAAATTCCTGGACACCTACACCCTCCCAAGATGGAACCAGGAAGAAATTGAATCCTTAAACAGACCAAAAACAAGTTACACAATTGAATCAGGAATAAAAAACCCACCAACCAGAACAAGTACTGGACCAGGCAGATTCACAGCCAAATTCCATCAGGTGTGTAAAAAAGAGCTACTACAATTCTTACTGAAACTATTTCAAAAAACTAAGGAGGAGGGCAAGTCACCATCATTCTGATACAAAACCATGTTGTTTCAGAGACACAACAAAAAAGCAAAAACTTCAGGCCAATATCCTTGATGAACATAGATGCGAAAATCATCAACAAAATCCTAGCAAACCAAATCAAGCAGCACATTAATAAATTAATTCACCACCATCAAGTGGGCTTTATCCATGGGATTTAAGGCTGATTAACATAAGCAAATCTATAAATATGATTTACCAATCACACAGAGAGAATAGGAAACAAATACCACATGATTATCTCAATAGACATAGAAAACTGTTTTGACAAAATTCTACACTGATTCATGTTAAAAACCCTCAGAAAACAAGCAATCAAAGGAAAATACCTTGACATAATAAGAGCCATCTATAACCTCCATCCAACATCATACTGAACTGGCAAAAACTAGAAGGAACTTCCTTGATAAATGGAACAAGGATACCCATTCTCACCACTCCTCTTCAGCATACTGCTGGAAGTCCTAGCAAGAGCAATCAGGCAAGGGGAAAAAATATAAAGTGTTCAAATAGCAAGAGAGGACATCAAAGTATATTTTTGCAGGAGATATGATTCTATACCTAGAAAATACCCCACATCTCTGCCCAAATCCTCCTAGTTATGATAAACAACTTCAGCAATGTGTCGAGATACTAAATCAATATATAAATATCAGTAGCATTTCTGTACATTGAGAACATCCATGCTGAGTGCAAAATCAAAAATGCATTTTTATTTTAAATTACCACAAAAATAATAAAATATCTAGGAATACAAGAAACCAGGAAGGTGAAAGATCTTGACAACAAGAAATACAGGATATTGCTGAAAGAAATCAGAATGACACAAACAAATACAAAAACATTCCATGATTTTGAATAGAAAAAAAATCAATATTGTTATAATGTCCATACAGCCCAAAGAAATTTACAGGTTCAATGCTATTCCTATCAAACTACCAACAACGCTTTTCACAGAACTAAAAAACTTACTCTAAAACTCATATATAACCAAAAAAGAGCTAGAGTAGCCAAAGGATCCCTAAGCAAAAAGAACAAATTTGGAGGCATCCCACTATCCAACTTCGAACTATACTAAGTAAACAAAACAGCTTTGTACCGATATAGAAACAGGTACACAGGACAATGGAACAAGTTATGGAAACCAGAAATAAAGCCACTCACCTACAACCATCTAATTTTTAACAAAGCTGACAATAATAAGTGATAGGGAAAGGACTACTATTTAATAAATGGTGCTTAGATAACTGGCTAGCCATATGCAGAATATTTAAATTGGACTCATTCCTTTTACTATCTATAAAAATAAACTCAAGGTGAACTAAGTCAAATTAAACCTCTTTCTTTTGTAAATTGCCCAAATCTCGGGTAAGTCTTTATCAGTAGTGGGAAAATAGAAACTATTGCAGTAAATTGGTACCAGGAATGGGATGCTGCTAAAAAGATACCTGAAAATGTAGAAGCAACTTTGCAACTGGATAACAGGCAGAGGTTGGAACAATTTGGAGAGCTCAGAAGAAGACAAGAAAATGTGGGACAGTTTGGAACCTCCTAGAGACTTGTTGAATGACTTTGACCAAAATGCTGATAATTATACGGACAATGAAATCCAGGCTAAGGTGGCCTCAGATGACAATGAGGAACTTGTTGGGAACTGGAGCAAAGGTGACTCTTGTTATATTTTAGCAAAGAGACTGACAGCATTTTGCCCCTGCCCTATAGATTTGTGTGACTTTGAACGTGAGAGAGATGATATAGGATGTCTGGTGGAAGAAATTTCTAAGCAGCAAAGCACTCGAGAGGTGACATGGATACTGTTAAAGGCACTTAGTTTGGTAAGGAAAGCAGAACATAAAATTTCAGAAAACTTGCAACTTGACAATGTGACAGAAAAGAAAATTCCGTTTTCTGAGGAGAAATTTAAGCTCACTGCAGATATTTGCATAAATAACGAGGAGCCAAATGTTAATACCCAGACAATAGGGAAAAGGTCTCCAGGGTGCTTCAGAGGTCTTCATGGCAGCCCCTCCCACCACAGACTTAGAGGCCTAGGGGAAAATATTTTGCGGACCAGTATCAGGGTCCCCATGCTGTTTGCAGGCTAGGAACTTGGTGGCCTGTGTCCCAGTCACTCCAGCTGTGGCTGAAAGGGGCAAACACAGAGCTAGGGCTGTGGCTTCAGAGGGTGCAAGCCCCAAACCTTGGCAGCTTCCATGTGGTGTTGAGCCTGCAAGTGCACAGAAGTCAAAAATTGGGGTTTGAGAACCTCCGCCTAGATTTCAGAGGATGTATGAAAATTCCTGTGTGACCAGGCAGAAGTTTGCTGCAGGATGGGGCCCTCATGGAGAAACTCTGCTAAGGCAGTACAGTAGGGAAATGTGGAGTTGGAGCCCCAACACAGAATCCCTACTGGGGTACCACATATTGGAGCTGTGAGAAGAGGGCCACTGTCCTCCAGACCCCAGAATGGTAGCTCCACTAACAGCTTGCACCACTCAACTGGAAAAGCCACAGACACTCAATACCAGCCCGTGAAAGCAGCTGGGAGGGAGGCTGTACCCTACAAAGCCACAGGGTGGAACTGCTCAAGACCATTATCACCCACCCCTTGCACCAGAGCAAGCTGGATGTGAGACAAGGAGTCAAAAGAGATCATTCTGGAGCTTTGAGATTTGACTTACTTGCTGGATTTTGGACTTGCATAGGGCCTGTAGCCCTTTGTTTTGGCCAATTTCTCCAGGTTGGAATGGCTGTATTTACCCAATTTTTGTACCCCCGTTGTATCTAGGAAGTAACTAAATTGCTTTTGATTTTACAGGCTCATAGGCAGATAGGTGGAAGGGGCTTGCCTTGTCTCAAATGAATCTTTGGACTGTGGACTTTTGAGTTAATGCTGAACTGAGTTAAGACTTTGGAGGATGGTTGAAAATTAGTTTTGAAATGTGATGATATACTGTTTGGGAGGGGCTGGGGCAGAGTGATATGGTGTGGCTCTGTGTCCCCACACAAATCTCATCTTATAGCTCCCATAATTCCCATGTGTTGAGGGAGGGGTCCAGTGGGAGATGACTAAATCATGGGGGCGGGTCTTTCCTGTGCTGTTCTCATGATAGTGAATGGGTCTCATGAGATCTCATGATTTTAAAACATGAGGGTTTCTTTCCATAAGCCCTCTCTTTTGCCTGCTGCCATCCACGTAAGATGTGACTCACTCCTCCTTGCCTTCCACCATGATTGTGAGTCTTCCTCAACCATGTGGAACTGTAAGTTCAATTAAACCTCTTTCTTTTGTAAATTGCTTACTTTCAGGTGTGCCCTTATCAGCAGCATGAAAATGGACTAATACACTCAACTAAACTAAAAATCTGCATAATGAAATAAACTGTCAACAGAGTAAACAAGCATTTACAGAATGGTAGGAAATATTTGCAAACTATGCATTCAACAGAGGTCTAATACCTGGGATCTATGAGGAATTCATTCAATTTAACAAGTAACAAACAACCCCATTAATAAATAAACAAAGCACATTAACAGAGACTTTTCAAAAGAAGGTATATGCATGGCAACAAACATGAAAAAATACTCAACATCACTAGTTATTAGAGAAATGCAAACAAAAACAATAATGAAACATTATCTCACACCACTCAAAATGACTACTCTTAAAAAGTGAAAAATAACACATATAGGCAAGTTTGTGAAGAAAGGGAACACTTATACACTGTTGGTGGGAGTGTAGATTAGTTCAGCCACTGTGGAAAACAGTTTATAGATTTCTCAAAGATCTTAGAACTACTACTGACCAACAATTCCATTACTGGATATATATTCATAGGATAATAAATAGTTCAACCATAAAAACACATGGATGCATATAATCATCACAGCACTCTTCACAATAGCAAAGATATAGAATCAACCTAGAAGCCCATCAGCAGTGGACTGGATAAGAAGATATGGTATATATATGCCATGGAATACTATGTTACCATAAAAAAATTAATTCATGTCCTTTGCAAAAACATGGATGAAGGCAGAGGCCATTGTCTTAACCAAGTTAATGCAGAAAACAGAAAGTAAATACTCCATGTTATCTCTTATAGGAGGGAGCCAAACATGGGCACAGAGATGGAAACAATAGACACCAGTGCCTACTTTATGTTTAAAGGTAGGAGGAGGGTGAGCATTGAAAAACAACCCCTAGGGCATTATGCTCATTAAATGAGTGACGAAATAATTTTATACCAAACCCCAATGAGATGCAATTCAGTCATGTAGCAAACATGCACATGTAACCACTAAATCTAAAATAAATTTTGGATGAAAAAAAGTCTATTAAAATGTATTAGCATGTAACTAAAAATGTGAGTAAAAGTGTGAGTAAAAGTGTGACTAAAGCCCAATTGGGTTCTTCTGATTTACGGCAAAGAAAAAGCTAATACACTGAGACAGAAGGTGTTGTAGCAGACAAAGGGATTAATATTTGCAAGGCAGCTGAGTGAGGACAACATGAGATTTCTCAAACCTAACTCCCAGGGAATTTGAATACTAGGGTTTTTAAGGGTTATCCAGCAGGCAAGCAGTTAGGGAATGGGTTCTAGTGATTGAGTGAGTTGGGGATGAAATCACAGGGGTGCCAAATCTGTCTTTGTGGGTTGAGACAGTACCTTTGTGTGGGTCACTAGTCTGGGTGGCATCTGTTGGTCTACTGGAATGCAAGGTCTGAAAAATATCTTTTTAAGACCTGTCTCAATTTTCACAATAGTGATGTTATCTATGGGAGCATTAGGGAAAGTCACTAATATTGTGACCCCTGGTTATGTGACTCCTGAGCAGTAAACAGTTACAAAATGCAAACTAGGAAATATGGAGTTTTTACTATTTATGCCATGTCTTAGCAGACTTCGGGCCCATACAATAATTTTAACCTTGTGACCTTTTATTAGTTTTACAAAGGTATTTTCAGTTTCTGAACAGGGAGGCTCTTAGCTTTGGGAAGAGACTATTATCATTCTTGCTTTAAAGTTAAACTATTAACTAAATTCCTCAGCTAAGTTATAAACTAAATTCCTCCCATAATAACTTTTGTCTATGCATAGGAATAAACAAAGGCAGTTAGCTCTTCAGGTTAGAAAAAAGCTTGAGTCACTTATGTTAGATTTCCGTCACTGGTATAACTTTGCAAAGTCAGCTTCAAAAGGAAATGTTTCACTTTATAAAGATTTTTATGAAAATAGCTGAAATAAGTGGTATTCTAATGCCAAAATATAATTTGAATAGTTAACAATGAAGGTTAAAAATTGAAAATTATACACACACTCATATACACACACAAATATACACTTATTTCATATATTGCAATAATTTTATTATGTATCTTAATTTATTTTTACTTAATATGTTTTGGAAGGTCTTAAGAAAGTGAAACTGCCTTTGCAAAAATCATAACTGAGAAAGAGATCTGACCTAACCAACTCCATCTTGCTTTTAACTTTTAAGCTGCCCTGTTCATTTCTAGGCATAGATTGAACTAACTTTTCGAGGAACTTAGTTTATAGTTTAGCTTTAAAACAAAGAAAATAACAGCCTTTCCCAAAGCAAACCCTCTTTCTGCCTGGGGACTAGACTGCCTTTTCAGGACCAACAGTTAAACCACAAGATTAGAAATTATGGTTTAGGAGTCATGCAGCTGGAGGCTGCAAACCTAACCAAATTGCTCCTGGGGATAACATCATTATTATAAAACCTAAGATCAATGCTTGAGATATTTTGCAGACCCTGCCCTGATGGATCAGATGGCACCACCCAGACTAATCAAATGGCTCATCTGATACTGTGGCCCGTACCCAGGAACTGACTCAGCACAAGAGGACGGCTTCAATGCCCTATGATTTCGTCTCCTACCCAACCAATCAGAACTCACAACTCATTCATAAAACTATTTTTTTTTCAAAAAAGATACTTTGTGTGTCTGAGTTTTAAGTAAAACACATCTATATTTTATGTATAAATATTTAGGGTTTGTTTGTATTAAATTTTATAGTCCTGTATTTTAACTATATTTTGATCACAAAACTATAGTACTTTCAAATTCTTTGAAGAAAACAGTGTTTAGCACAGAAGGAAAAAGTTACCTAATAACAGTCTTTTCTATTTTAGAATTTGATTCTATTGAAACCAATCAATTTTAGCTCTAACACAAATTAGACTGCTTGTAGATTATCATGGCATTACAAAATGAAATGCAAGTTAATGGAGGGCCTTGACCTACTTACCATGTTACAGAACTGGAGAATCAGTGAGAAAATTAAATTTCTAACTGCTCAATAGAAAATGTACATTATTTTATGTCTAAGGGTCCCTGGAATAAAAGTATAAACAATCCTTGACAATCACTTTCATAGTAAAATAATTATACCAAGTTATTTTTTTCTTAATTTAATAGAAAATCACATTATTACATGCATAATAAAAAAAATGTAAAAATTTATGGTTGCATAATATCTGTCACTTATTTATACTCTTACTTCCTCTCTAAAACAAAATTTCTCATCAGTTTGTCTCTTCTACAGGAAGACTGAGAGATTAACATAAGAATGCCCTGTAAAATAAAGATAATATATTTCCTCTATATTTCAGAATATATCTAATTCTAAGAAAACAAAAAAAAAACAGAATATAAGAAACTATTATTTCTAACTATCTGCCTGATCCCAAATGTCAAGTACAGTGAGATAATTCCCAGTCTAGTTGAAATCTCCTTTGCAAAGATTGTAACTGTGAGATAAATCTAATGTTGATGGCTGCAGGAGGTAGTCAAATGCCTAGGCAGACAGGGACATGTCCCCAGTGAAACCTGACCTTCAAGCCAAAGCCAGTTTAAAGTCTGAAAGCCAAGCTACAAGTCAATTTCACAAACCAGATTGAGAACCTCTCTTCCCATTTGGCATGCTTTCCTCTGATTGATCCTTACCCTTCACTTACTGTACATATGCCTATTCTTCCCTAATTGGTTTTTCACACTGTCCTGCCCACCTTTGAGTGGCACCTGTTTTTTAGCCTTTTTTTTGCATACTCACAAACCAATCAGCACATACTTCCCCATCTGAGCCCATAAAAATCCCAGACTCAGTCACACTGTTGGGGAGATCACCTGACTTGAGGTGGGGGACCACCCTTGCAATCTTTCCACATTGAGAACTCTACCATCACTCAATAAAATTCTGCTCCACACACCTCACCCTTCAATTGTCAGTGTAACCTCATTCTTCTTGGACACAGGGCAAGAACTCGGGAACCACCTAAGGCAAGTAAGAGCTATAACACAGGTGGGCTGGGGCATGCCTGGCCCAGCTGTGGGGTGAACACGAATTGCAAAGCAAGCATAGGATCAGTGGTGGTGCACAATAAGGTGGAGCCTGATGGGCTGAGTGGGCATGGCGTCTCCTGCATGTGGCCAAGCAAGGCCCTAAACAGGGACATTGCCAGCCCGGGAAGTCTCCATCTGGGGGCTCATCTGGATTTGTCGGAAGTGTGAGTAAATGCAGACCTATTACTCTTCACTTTTTCTGAGTCTTCTTGTCCTCAGACATTTTTTCTGAAGGCAGATAAAGCACTGAGTATCTGTCAGCCAATTAAGAAGCAAATGACATGGCTGCAGAGGAGGTTGTCACCCACTCTGAAACCCCTTGGGGGTTGGAAATGTCAGCTTTGTTCCAATCCAGTCCTTTCTATGGCATTTTCCTTCTTTCCTTCAGGACTGCCATGGTCTCCATCTCTTCTTTTATAATGTTAAGACTGTTGTTGCAAACCACAGAAAAAACATTCTTTTGTGGAATGGACACTCGGCTCAATCATCAGAAATGTAATTCAGAACAATGTGGTTTCCATCTATTCTTAGCAGCAAGCAGCATGCAGTGATTAAGAGTTTTTTTTTTTTTTTTCCTCTGTTGAAGAAACCCATTTACCTGGAGCAAGAGGCTTTCTCCCCCAGGTACCTTTCTCACCCTGCCCTTAAGCTTTTTTTTTTTTTTTTCTTTTTTTTCTCTCTTCTCTCCACCATATCAGGAGTTAACATAGCCCTGAGAAGACAGGAAACTTTTTTATGTGAGAGGTCATTTCCTTTTGGAGAGCATCTTACTAGGCCAAGTCCCCACTTCTCACGACTCCTTTTCTCTCCCTTGTTTGAAGAGAACCTGGTTCCACAGCTTCACCTTAGCATTCTGCCTATAATAAGGAAGCAATGGAGGAGTGACCCCACCAGGCACTCACTTCAGTTAGGTAAGGCCCAACTGGGAGTTAACTTAATAAGTCCATGCACCCTCTTGAGGCACCTTTCTGTCCCAAATTCAGTTCCAAGCTTCAGGTTGAAGCCTTGGAAAGGAAAATTAGCTCTGAGGGACCCAAAGGTAGAATACATTTTTTAACAATTGAATAAGGTATGCTCTTGTGAACAAAATTTAGAGCATGTTTGTTTCTCCAGAATTTGCAAAGTATTTGTGAGTATTCTTAACTTATGGCAATATAGTTGTTTGCATAAGTACAGTAAGAATCTATTTTCTTTTGCAACAAGATGTAATTGGAGAAACTGGTTGTTTTACCAGGGTTTTGACTGAAAGAGTGTGTTTCCCTTTAAGGAATCAAGCTTGACTTGCAGAGCCAATAAAAGCCCCTTGGAAAAATTGGCCTCAGATCTTGTCTACAAAGTCCCTGTACAGGGTTCCTAACCTGTGGTGAGTAAAGAATATCACTTTCTAACAGTCCCAGGAGCCCCAAGTTATCTTGGGACCTCAAGAAAATAAAAATTTACCCAACTCATAGTTATTTGAGGGTACAAACCCATGGCTGGGCTCAGCTTTAAAAAGTCTTATCTGATATTCCTTATTGAACAGAATTTGAGCAGAGCCAATTTAAAAGACCTATATGGGCCAGGTGCCATGTCTCATCCGTGTAATCCCAGTACTTTGGGATGCTGAGGTGGACAGGATCACTTTAGGCCAGGAGTTAAGGACCAGCCTGGCCAACATGCTGAAAACTCATCTCTACTAAAGATACAAAAATTAGCTGGGTGTGGTGGTGCATGCCTGTAATGCTGGCTACTTGAGAGGCTGAGGCATGAGAATCATTTGAACCTGTGAGGCAGAGGGTGCAGTGACTTGAGATCATGCCACTGCACTCCAGCCTGTGTGAATTATTCTTGCTGCACTTTGTGCAACTAATCTAGCAAAATACAAGATTGAAGTTTATTTTGCAAACAAATAACAAATCAGTCCTATCTTGATTTGTTTTTGACAAAAAATGAGAATTGGAGAGAGAAAAGTTATGTTTCAAAACTTATCATGCACTTGTCATTACATTCTAATCTCATTAATTAATTTTTAATTTGTGTCTGCATTTTAAACTAACTCTACTTAATCCTGATAACCAACCAGTGATCTCTGGCTACAGCTCAGAAGAAACAAAAGGGATGGGTAATGTTAAAATCTGAATCAATATTCTAGTTCTGGGCAATTATCCTCAAATCCTTCCAGGTGATAGGGGTAAATAGACTGCCCATAACCTGGAGGTTTTTTTTTTTTTTTTGGAAAATAAGACCAAGGGAGCTAACCAATGGCAAACCCCATGCACCCAAATCTTAGCAAGCATAACTATAGCTACCAGTTATTGAGGCATGTTGGCAGCTTCAGGTCTTTTGAAATGTCCTTACCCCCTTGTTTTGTTAGGTTATCTTCTGATAACGTGGTGTGTCTCTTCTCACCTTCAGGCCACTGACCTCCAAATGACCAAGCAACCGGAGCCTTGGATGATAGCTGCCTTTTACCCAAGACACTTAGGCCTCTGAGGGAGATCTTATTACCCTTTACTCAGAACAGCACTGCCTGTCTGCATGAAGCTGTTAAGAGTGGCCATCATTTTTATTCTAATGGCAGTTAGATGTACCTCTTGAGAGGAGGGAATGATAGCAGGGGGAAGCAGTCAGATGCCTAGGCAGACAGGGGTGGATCCCCAGTTAAAGCCCACCTTCAAGCCAAAGCCAGTTTAAAGCCTGAAAGCCAAGCTACAAGTAAAATTCCACAGACCAGATTGAGAACCTCTCTTCCTGTTTGGCATGCTTTCCTTTGATTGATCCTCATCCTTTACCTATTTTACAAGTACCTCCCCTTCCCTAATTGTTTTTTTTTACACTGTTGTGTCCACCTTTGAGTGGTGCCTTTGTTTTAGCCTTTTCTTTTTCTTTTTTTTGCCTACTCACAAACCAATCAGCACACACTTCCCTATTTTAAGCACATAAAAGCGCTGTGCCCAGCCACACTGGGGCATAGAACTCCTGACTTTAGGTGGGTGACCACCCTCATGTCCCCTCTCTGCTGAGAGCTGTTGCATTGCATAATAAACTTTTTCTTCACCCACCTCATCCTTCGATCATCAGGTCAGTGTAACCTCATTCTTGGATGTGGGACAAAAACTTGGTAACCACTGAACACAGATATGAGCTGTAACACAGATGGACTGGGGCACGCCAGGCCCTACTGTGGCATGTGGGGGATCTGAGCCGGTGTGCAAGCCAGGTGTGGTCCAGTGGGCTGAGTGGATGAGGCACCTCTGCAGCAGGGTCAGGGCTGAGTGAGGCTCTGGGCAGGGATGTCCCTGGATGTGGAGGTTCCTGGCTGACAAAGCGACCGAGAAAAATCCTGCATCAATGTGACTGACTCCATCTTACTTCCAGCTTCACAGGCTGGCTGTGTTTTCTCATTCCTAAGAATAGTACAAGATGATAATGGGAGGAGTTTAGTTTATAGTTTAACTTTGAAGTCCCATGTCTGTAGGAACTTCCCAATTGGAAAAACAAAATAGAAAAGAATTAAAAGAAAGAGAATATTCAAGAACTGTGGAATAATTTCAAAAGGCATCAGATATGTATAACTGGATTACCAGAACTAAAGAGAAAACAGAATAGAAGAAATATTGAAAGTAATAATAACCAAGAATATTACAAAAGTTGTGACTGACACAAACAACAGATTCAGAAAGCTCAGAGATCATGAGCCAGGATTAACATATTTTTTTAAAAATATATAAACCTATGCATATCATATTCAAACTGCAGAAGAACAAAGACAGAGAAAATCTTTAAAGCAGGCAGAGGGAATACAAGATTGTAATTTTAGAAGAACAGGCATAAGAATTACATAAGACGTTTCAATATGAACCATACAAAAAAGAACAGTGAAATATTTAAAGAGCTAAAAAAGCTACAATTTAAAAAACAATCCAGACTTCGATAACCAATAAACTTATCCTTCAAAAGTGATCATAAAATAGATACATTACCAGATAAACAAAAATCTTCATAATTTATTGTCAGCAATCATTACTGTAAACAATGTGAATAGAAGTTCTTCAAAAAGAAGGCAGATAATGAAACAAAACAAAACCACAAGGAGATACCTTTTACACACACTAGAATCACTATAATCAAATTGATGGACAATAGTAAAAGTTGACAAAGATATGAAATTCTTAGAACTCCGACTCACAGCTGGGGAAAATTTAATACTTTATACTTACTTTGAAAAACATTTTGGCAATTATTCAGATAGTTAAACTTAAGATTGAAATATGATTCAGCAGTTCTATAGCTGGAAATATATTAAGAAGATAATTAAAAACACAAAGTCATGCAAAAGCTTGTAAACAATATTTGTAGAAGCATAGCACTGTCATAATAGACAAAAATGGAAGATAAATAAAACATCATGACGGGATGAATGAATAACCTAAATGTGCCATAGTTAAATGATAAAATAGGATACTGTTTGGCTGTAGAAAAAATGATCCCTCAAAAACCTAAAGACAGAAATACACTCAGCACAACAATCCCATTACTGAGTATATATCCAAGGAAATATAAAGCATTCTATTATATACACATACACACATATGTTCATTGCAGTACTATTCACAATAACAAAGACATGGAATCAACCTAAATGCCCATCAATGGTAGACTGGGTTAAAAAAAAAGGTACAAACACACTATGGAATACTACGCAGCCATAAAATAGAATGAGATCATGTCCCGTGATGGTTAATATTAAGTGTAAACTAGATTGGATTGAAGGATGTAAAGTATTGCTCCTGGGTGTGTCTGTGAGGGTGTTGCCAAAGGAGATAAACATTTGAGTCAGTGAACTCGGAGAGAAAGACCCCGCCCCCGCTCATTGTGGGTAGGCACTATCTAATCAACTGCCAGCCCAGCTAGAATAAAGCAGACTTACTGAGAGTTCCGGCCTTTATCTTTCTCCTGTGCTGGGTGCTTTCTGCCCTCATCATCAAGCTCCAAGTTCTTCAGCTTTTGGACTCTCGGACTTACACCAGGAGTTTGCCAGGGCTTCTTGGCCCTTTCACAGACTGAAGGCTGCAATGTTGGCTTCCCTGCTTTTGAGGTTTTGGGATTTGTACTCATCCACTACTGGCTTAGTTGCTCTTTAACTTGCAGGCAGTGTATCATGGGACTTTACCTTATAATTGTGTGAGTCAATTCTCCTTAGTAAACTCCCTTTAATATATACATATATCCTATTGGTTCTATCCCTCTAGAGAACCCTGACTAATACGTGTACTTTGCAGAGACATGGATGGATGGAGCTGGAGGCCATTATCCTTAGCAAACTAAAACAGAAACAGAAAAACAGATACCACATGTCCTTATTTATAAGTTGGAGCTAAATGATGAGAACACATGGACACAAAGAGGAAAACAACACACACTGGGACATATCAGAGGGTGGAGGATGGGAGGAGGTTGAGGATCAGAAAAAATAACTAATGAGTACTAAGCTTAATACCTGGGAGGTAACATAATCTGTACAACAAATCCCCATGATACAAATTTATATATATAACACACTTGCACATGTACCCCTGAATTTAAAATAAAATTAAATAATGCAAAAGAATCTCACAAAGTTCCACTTTAAATAAAACAACAAAAAAGAATGATACATGCTACAACATAGATGAACCTTTAAAATAGTAAGCTAAGTGAAAAAAAAAAAAACAGACACAAAAGACCACATATTGTATGATTTCTGTTTATGAAATGTTTGGCATGTGCAAATTCATAGAAGTAGATTAGTAGTTGTCAGGGGATGGAGCTAAGGGGTAATTGAGAATGATGGCTAATAAGTGTGGGGATTTTAGGGGGGTGATGAAAATTTCTTATAATTATTTAATAGAGAGGAATGATAATTGCAAAATCTTGTGAATATATTAAGAACTAGTAATTTGTATACTTTTAAATAGAATGAATAATATGAAATGTGAATTATGTCTCAATAAAACAGCACACACAAAGAGATACCACCGAACTCCTATTAGAATGCCTAAAAAATAAATCTACAATTATAAAATATAATAATTCATTTTAATTAATTCTATTGATTACAACTATTTTAAGAAGTGGAATGGAAGCTCAGTCATTTATTGACAATTTGTAGCAGTTTCATCCATTATCATGGGATGAAATGGTAAGACTACACAGAATTATATAGAACGTAGCCTTTTCAAACCAATTTAAAAAAAGAAGCAATTATCCTCTTCTATATTATCATCGTGTGGTAATTACAGAGTCAAAGCCTCTTATATTCAGACAGCAATTACTGTTTTTAATAACTAGAAAATAGTTCCTTTACATTATTTGGCATGTCCAGATGAAGAGACAAGCTGATATTCTAGTTACAGCAAGTTATGTTGCAAAATTTTGCCTTATTGATAGGAAAGTCCATTAACAGCACATTAGAGGAAAAAGAAAACATAAAAGGAAAATGTTACTGAGTATACCTCAAATACAATGTTACGAGTCTGCAATTATAGAATAGATAATTTTCAAAAAACTTTATTCACATAACAAATTTTATTAGCTCAAAAGACATATTTTAGAATAAATTCTATAAAATATTTAATGCTAATAGCCTACACACTAAAATATAATCATATTTGTCTATCTATTTTGTTGGAGGACCATTTCTCTTGCTTGAAATACAGTCTTCACATTTTCTCCCTAATTAATTAATACATGATAAACATTACTAGTATCCAAAAGATATAGAACCAAAGGTCAATTTTATTTTCCTAGCAAGTATTATACATGTTTTTAATTCTAATGATTAGATTGTTTTAATAATAGTAAAAACTGGCTTTTTTATGCATTCGTTTCTAAAGTTATTTTAAAATCATAAGTCTTAATATAATGAAAACTCTTATGCAAATTTAATAGAGGGTTATACAATTAAGAATAAGAATTATTTTACTTTAAAAATTAAAATACAATAAGAATTCAATGTTACAGATATAAAAGTGTGAAAGTCCCAATTTTCATGTGTTTATGCTCAATAGTCATAGCTTCATATAATCATATTAAAACCAAAATCATTGAGGACACATGTTTGTAATAACATGGGTCTGCTTACATGCAGAATCCTTCATTTTATTTATTTGTTTTATTTATTTATTTATTTACGTTAGAGACAGAGTCTTACTCTGCTTTTCAGGCTCTATTGCAGTGGCGTGACTATGGCTTACTGCAGGTTTGACCTCCTGGATTCAAGTGATCCTCCCATCTCAACCTCCTGAGTAACTGGGCCTACAGATAGGAGCCATCACACCTGGCTAATTTATATATATATATATATATATATTTTTTTTTTTTTTTGGTAGAGATTAGGTCTAGCTATGTTGCTTCTAGCTGGTTTCAAACTCCTGACCTCACACAATCCACCCCACTCAGCCTTCCAAAGTACTGGGATTAAAGATGAGTCACTGTGTCCAGCCTTCATTTTATTTCTTGATCTCAGTTGTCACCAAAAATTGAGAACTATAAAATACATCTTCATTTTTGTTTACTGCATTCAGTTTATACATATTACAGGAAAATGTTTATTTTACATAAAGAGCAGCTTTCAGTGACCAGAACACTGGATTTCTGAATATGCAAGGTTGATAGTTGAAAGATAGGTAATTGATATTTCCTAGTATAGCAATTGTCTTGTACTTTTTAACTTGCGTTTTTGTAACTCATCACAGGACACTTGAGTACTACTCAATAAATTAGCAACATTTATTATATTTGTGATACTGCCATTTTAATTACACAGTTATTTTAATAACACTGAATCAAGAAATTGTTATGGTATAAATGATAATAACAATTAAAAAATACAGTTTTAACTGATTCTTTATTAGAGTATATTTGGTGATATTCCTAGGAGTATTACATGCAACACATCTTCTTAGCATCAAAATTTCATTAAATTTAAAGGTAAAGAAATGGTTAAAATAATTAAATTTTCGGCCGGGCGCGGTGGCTCACGCCTGTAATCCCAGCACTTTGGGAGGCCGAGGCGGGTGGATCACGAGGTCAGGAGATCGAGACCATCCCGGCTAAAACGGTGAAACCCCGTCTCTACTAAAAATACAAAAAATTAGCCGGGCGTAGTGGCGGGCGCCTGTAGTCCCAGCTACTTGGGAGGCTGAGGCAGGAGAATGGCGTGAACCCGGGAGGCGGAGCTTGCAGTGAGCCGAGATCCCGCCACTGCACTCCAGCCTGGGCGACAGAGCGAGACTCCGTCTCAAAAAAAAAAAAAAAAAAAAAAATAATAATAATAATAATAATAATAATAATTAAATTTTCCAGAGTTAAAAACAGTTAAAGTACATCATCAGAGGAGTAACATAATGCAAGAATACTTAGTGCCTTCATATCCAGGAGAACCTCTTATTTCTATGAGGAAAGTGTTCAAAATGAACCTTTCTATTAACTGTGATGTTGAAAAGGAAAATCCAGCATAATTTTTAAATGAACACAGTCATTAGTGCACATAAATCCTGGTATCTAATTTTACAGACCTTTTAATATAATTTTGTTATAGATTTATCAATTTTTATTATTCTCAAAACTGACTACAAATTTTTTAAACTTTAAAACTATATCAATTATTTTATTATATTGGAAAACCTACTTTGGTTCATTCATGCTTTTTGAAAATTAGTCCTTGTTCTCTTAACACAAATGTAAAAAATTATAAATCTATTATCTGGTGAAAAAAGTCTTGTTAATTTTAAAATGTATACTTATGATTGGTAAATAGTTTTTATTATGTGTACAGAATAACCATGGAATACTTTATTGTTTATCTTTGCAACATCCTATAATTAGTGAATCCCAGTTTTGTTTGGTTTTGGAACACAATATACAGATAGAACATTGTATCCAAAATACTTGGGACAAGAAGTGTTTCAGATTTTTGATTTTTTCAGACTTTGGAATATTTGTATACACATAATGTGGTGTCTTGGGGATGGGGCCAAAATCTCAACACAAATTTTTAAAATTTACATTTAATATTCAGATTATATGCATAGCCTGAAGGTAATGGTATAAAATATTTTAAATATTTTTTTGGCATAAAATGAAGTTTTGACTGCATTTTGACTGTAACACATCACATGATGTCTGATGTGGAATATTCTATTTGTTTTGTCGTGTCAGCATTCAAAAAGTTTTGAATTTTGGAGCATTTATGATTTCAGGTTTCTGGATTCAAAATACTTTATAACCTATTATCTAGTGGTGAATCCACTTCTCCTTATTATTCTTAGAAATATTGTCCAGCTCACAAATAAGATTGTTTAACAGTTTCACAACAAAAACAACTGCATTAATAACAATAAATGTAAACAGAATGCTCCAAGTGATTTATATGAAAGTGGATTTTTCTGATATAGACTTCACGTCTTTATCTGTGCAATCTCCTATGTTATTCTTTCTGGAAATTGAGAATAATAACTGAAGCAGCAGCAATAATCTTAATTTGACGAGAGAAGCACTAGAAGAAAGCTAATAGGGTAACAGATAAAATTAACAGATATCTAAGAGGCAGCAATTAAGAAAATGTCTCCAGTATTGTTTCTCATTTAAAAGTTGTATATAGGCTGGGTGTGGTGGCTCACACCTGTAACCCCAGCACTCTGGGAGGCTGAGGGGGGTGGATCACCTGAGTTCAGGAGTTTGAGACCAGCCTGACCAACATGGTGAAACCCCGTCTCTACTAAAATTACAAAAATTAGCTGGGCATGGTGGTACATGCCTGTAATCCCAGCTACTCAAGAGGCTGAGGCAGGAGAATCGCTTGTACCCAGGAGGTGGAAGTTGCAGTGAGCCAAGATCGGGCCATTGCACTCCAGACTGGACAACAAGAGCTAAGTTCTGTCTCAAATAATAATAATAATAAAAGTTGTATATAAAAACAACTTATTCACAAGCTCTTTGAAATATTTATACCTATAACCAGGTTACACGATGCTGAATATTATAAAATATGTATGTGCTTATATATAATGTGTTTTCTTTATAAGAGTGGAGCTGAAAAATGTAAAGCTTAAAACTTATGAGTATCTGTGTTGCCTAGACAAA
Organism: Homo sapiens; assembly: GCF_000001405.40. Classification (NCBI taxonomy): domain Eukaryota; kingdom Metazoa; phylum Chordata; class Mammalia; order Primates; family Hominidae; genus Homo; species Homo sapiens. The sequence goes on along the minus strand of NC_000013.11, from coordinate 82,560,160 downwards.
AAAGAACAAAATAATCAGTATTTAGCAAAATATATTTAAGACAATATGTATTATGGAAAAAACATATAATATGATATATATCATAGAAGGTTAAATTGGAAAGTGAAAATATATTTAATATTTATAAAAATATGGCAAGGTAACAGAGAGAAAAAATATATATATGTTTCTCTTTATTAAAAAATTCAGATTAAGAAACTTTCATTTGTCACATACTGCATTTATTAAATGTTTAATATCAATGTCATGATTAGTTACCACTCAACCATGCCACATATCCACATGGGTGTAAAGACATACAAACTCTTTTGAATATGAATATTCTACCTCTTACTTTACAAAGCATTTCCCTTAAAACAATGGTTTTATTTAATTAAATACATTTGTTCAGAACATATGCACAGTATTTGCCACTTCTTTGGTTTTTGAGATAGAGGAACACTAGGTATAGACAACGCTGACATTAAAGATCGCATTATCTTCCAAGGAAATTTTAGACTCTTGAATTATAAGTTTTTTTTTCCAGGAAATGCATTAAGTAGAGACTGAAGATTTGATGGACTATAATACATATTTTAATGTCTGTAGCAGATTTTTAGTAGACAGAGTTATTTTTTCCAAGTTGAATACCTCTGCCAGAGATTGATTTGGGACTTCTGACCTACAATTTTCAGACTAAAGAGCAGGAAGAAATTCAGTTATCAAAGCAAACATGAGATGAAATGATGAAAGCAGATGTCTCTAAAAATCAGTATACCAAGATTCTGAAGAAATAAAAACACTTAGATATGCTGATTTAATCAAATATACTTTGAGGTTATTTAGATTTTTATTTTATTCAGAATTGAACTATCATTAAATCTCAGTAGAAAAAGAATGTGGAACGTAAATATGAAGAACCTGAAAATATAGTATTCATTAATGTTAATTTATTAAATAAAAATGTTAGTTAAAAGAAGCATACATTTCATAATTAATAATTGTAACAAAAACTTAAATAACTGTACCTCTACATATTCAGAAACTATACTTAGTAACTAATCTAATAGCATATATATAATTTATATTTAAAACATTCAAGAAACAAATTACATTTGCAATACAAAAGTTAGGGAGAAAAGAAAGCAAAGTTAATTCTATGAAAAGAAACATAAGAATATACTTTTAAAATAAATTGCATGAGTTCATCATTTCCTTTCTAAAGGACCAAAGTTGAGAAGTTCATTAATCCCCAAATATATTTGGATAGTACATTATTAAATCCAAAGGCTATTAAAATATCTGTTTGATTTAAAACTCAATTAATTGTAGTAACTACAAGTTTTTTAAAGAGTTAAAGTTAGATTCATCATGCTGAAGGTTAAAATAAAATATATGTGATCAAATAAGTATATTAAATAGTTTTTGCATATCATACAAGTACCTATTAGCATTGTAACTAATATTCCCTGAAAAAGGAAAACCCATATAAGCCTACCAAACAATTTTATGGTTGCTTTCCTCGTATGTGTACCTTCCTATATATGAGTTTTTGTCAAATGTTATTCCTAAATTTGAATATTTGGCTATCATAAGAAACAAATCTCCATTTCTGAGACTCAATGAAATAAAATACACCCATGAATAATTGTTCCATTCAATCACATTCTAGTACCAGAGATTCTATAGATACTTCATATATATATATATATATATATATATATAAAAACACATATACACACATATAAAAATATATATGTATTTGTATTTCTTATATTACAGGAATATCTCTTGTGTTAGTCAAGTGCATGTTTTTATTATATTATCTGATGTTATAAATGTGTATTTCACAATGTATTTCATATTTTTAGGTTCACTCTACTTATACAAAAATTTTAACAAATATATTTTACAATAGAACTGGCATAAAACATACCCTTCTAATTTTAGGTTTTTCATCCATGAAGAAACATATAATTGAGAAGGATGAATAAACAGTATCTAGTACTTAGTTTCTATGCTATGTTTCTTACTTATTAAACAATTTAACTGTGTTCTAAATTTTGACAGATTCATGTTGTATAGGGCCAATAGATAGTTTTACAGAACATTATAGATTAAATGTTCAAACTCTGTCACGGTTCATACATTAGAAATGTAATATTTATTGAATGAAAGTATAAAAATCTATAAGTGAATACATTAATGAATGACATTTGTCCTAGAACATAAGTGACAAGAGAAAAACTATTCTGTAAATATACATTTATGGAATTAAGTAATTTAGAAATTCAGAAGATTTTCTAGAAAAACAACCGGTAGCAAACTTTCAATATCTATAGTAAGTAATCTATGAGAGCTACATTAAAATAAGAAGTGGTGTTTTGCCAGAACGATGTGGGAAACTCATCAACAGAATTAATCAAATGAAAAGAGCAGAATTAAACACTTATAATACTACCATATAGAACTAGAAATTTGAACATGAGCAGAGACATGTGCCAAGTCAAGTGAGATGCACATATATGCACACCCATTCTGGGTACACATTCAGATAGCATGAAGAGAAAATTTACTTTAAAAAATGGCCATTAAAATGAAATAAGGCAAGGCAATTGGGATCTTATTGGGCAGTAAAGTAATGCCATGGTATAATGAATTCCATAAATATAACAAACACTTGGGAAATAAAACTACGGCTCTCATATAGACCCACTAACATTTATGTCTTATCTACTTTCCTCTGAGATAAAATACTGTGACTTTATATCTAGTACTGCAACACATAGTTTTGGGTGAAAATGATGAAGATGATCATGAATGAAACTACATAAAAAACATATTTTAGGATTTCTGTACGTGCAACCATTTTCTATGCATCATTATTTCTCATTAACTTGCTATTGTTTTTAATCTTCAAAAGCATAAATTAGGGACATAGATATAATCAACACTATATAAACAAGGTCCTCATAGAAAGCAATCAAAAAGTAATGAACCCATGCAAAAATTAATCGGCCCTATACACTGTTTTGCTGGCTAATTTTATATGAGAATGTGGCTAGGCCACAGTTAATGGTTGTTTGGTCAAATGACAGTCTAGATGTTGCTGTGAAGTTTTGTGTTTTTTTTAATGTGATTAACATTAACATCAATGGACTGAGTAATTAAGATTACTATTGTAATGTGAGTAGACTTTACCCAATCAGTTGAAGGCTTTAAGAGCAAAGACTGAAGTTGTCCAAAGAAAAAGAGATTCTTATCAAAACTGGAACCTAGAAACCCTGCCTTAGGTGCCACGTTTTGCTCTAATTGCCCTAATCATTGGGAATTTAGATGCAAGACTGGAACATCAACTATTCCAATTTTCAGACTTTCAGTCTGACCTACAGGCTCACACAAGCCAAATATTTAAAATTTAAAAAAAATCTATAGAGAGTACATGACAGCTAGATGAACAGATGACCAGTATTGGTATAGATATGAATTTATATATATCTTATTGGTTTTCTGGAGAACCTTGGCTAATACAATTGGATACAATGATTCACAAGGATATCAGTAGTGATAGATTTTTGGTGCTCACAGAATATAAAATTATATGAAGCTTTTATTTTTAAATAATAGAAAATCATTTATTCACATCAGTATATTTTTAATGGCATCAGTTCTCCATTGGACACACTGTATTTTAGTTTACATTGCTGAGACATTTTTTAAATTTCTATTTTTTTCTGTTAAAAATATTTTATTGTATATATTTGTGTACAACATAATGTTTTGATATACACATCCATAGTGTAACAAATAGTATAGTCAAGCAAATTAATATAGTTCTCATCTAACATAGATTTCTTCTTTTTTGTGTGTGGTAAGAGTATCTAAAATCTACTCTGTGAATTTCCACTATACTATAAAATGTTATTAACAATGGTCCTTATGCTGTACAGTAGATCCCTAGATTTTTTCATTCTGCATAACTACAATGTTGTACCTTTTGATATTAATTTACCCATTCTCCCACCCTCTTACCTCTGGTAACCACTGTTCTATGTATTCAGCTATTTTTTAGACTTCCCATATAAACATGGGAGTGAAGATATCTCTTTAACATATTAATGTCATCTTTTTGGATATATACCCCATAGTAGGATTGCTGTATCATATAGTAATTCTATTTTTAATTTTAAGGAACCTGCATATTGTAATCCACATTGGCTAACCAATTAACATTGTCAGCAACAGAGACCAACAGTTCCCTTTCCCCAACACCCTTTCCAACACGTATTATCTTTTATTTTTTTGTAGTAGCCATTCTAACAGATGTGAGGTGATGTTTCAGTGTGATTTTAATTTGCAGTTTTTCTGATTGTTAGTGATGTGTTCCATATACTTGCTGGCCATTTGAACGTCTTCTTTTGAGAAATACCTATTCAGGTTCTTTGCCCACTTTTAAATTGTATTATTGGCTTTTTGCTATTGAGTTCTGTCAGTTCCTTTTATATTCTGGATATTAACCCCTTATCAGATATATGGTTTCCAAGTATTTTTCACCATTCCATAGATTGTCTTTTTTTTTTTGGAGACAGAGTCTCACTCTTGTCATCCAGGCTGGAGTGCAATGGTGCGATCTTGGCTCACTGCAACCTCTTCCTCCCGGGTTCAAGCGATTCTCCTGCTTCAGCCTCCTAAGTAGCTGGGATTACATGCATGCACCACCACACCTGGCTATTTTTTTTGTCTTTTTTTTTGTATTTTTAGTAGTGACTAGGTTTTGCCACGTTGGCCAGGCTGGTCTTGAACTCCTGACATCAAGTGATCTGCCCACCTGGGCCTCCCAAAGTGCTGAGATTACAGGTGTGAGCCACCATGCCTGGCAGATTGTCTTTTAATTTTGCTGATTGTTTTTAGTGTTGTACAATTATTTTTTAATTTGATGTTCCTCTTGTTCACTTTCTCTTTTGTTACCTGTGCCTTTGATGTAATATCCAAAAAATTGTTGCCATGGCCAAAGTCAAGGAGCTGTTCCCCTGTTTTTAGAAATGCTATGGTTTTAGGTCTTACATTTAGGTTGTTAATACATTTTGAATTGCTTATTGGATATAGTATATAATAAAAGTCCAATTTTATTATTTTGCATGTGGCTATAGTTTTTCAACACCATTTATTGAAGAGACTATCATTTCCCCATTGCGTTTTCTTGGTGACCTTGTTGAAAATTAGTTAACCATATATGGTTGGGTTTATTTCTGAGCTCTCTATTGGGTTCTATTGGTTTATCTGTCTTTTTTGTTAAGACAATACCATATCATTTTAAGAACTATAGCTTTGTAATATAATTTGAAATCAAGATGTGTAGTGCTTCCGACTTTTTTTTTTCTCCAAGTTGTTTTGGCTATTAGGAATATTTTATAACCCCATACAAACTTTAAAATTGTTTTTCCTATTTCTGAGCAAAATAGCTTTGAAATTTTGGTAGGAATCACATTAATCTGCTTTTATTTTTGTCTACTGCTTTTTTTTTCTGAATTTTTTGAACAAGAGCCTGAATGATGTTTTCACAAATGTAAATACCTATTTAAGAACATTCAAGTTATTGATGATTGAGGTGACATATTTTGATTTTTATTTTTGGTTTTCTTCTCACATTTTGCTTATTTTAAATTTGTCTCATGTTGTATACTTTCTAAATAAATCGAAGGCCTCAGTCTATGACAGTCAGGGTCACAGTTGATTGTATGTAAAACCTCCAAATAGTCTTAAAACCATTAGGTAAATATATGGTATTTAATGAATCGTTGCAATGAAGGAGGCTGCACATCAGAGGAACCATTGTGCCTCTCCCCAAAGCAAGAAGAAATAGAGTTCTTATAGAATATGTGTGTATAGTGAGAATTAGTTGACATTTCAATGAAACAGTGTTTTGAGAAGTTCAAACAAAGAAAGGCCGCGAATATAGTGATAATAATTAGTTCTGGAATGCAACCTGGTCCTGCGTTCTCTTTCTTTCGAGACTTTGAAGTTAAGATAGATGTGTAATGTCATGATCAGAAAACTGGGGTTTACCTGGGTTTTAAATCAAAACTGCTTTACTCTGTCAATGTGACTTAGATCCTTCAAACATGGGGATACTTCTTTCTTACCGACAACATTTCAAACAGCAAATTTTATGATAGTCTATTTTAGAAAACTGTATTAACCCCGGGAGTAAGAAAGCAGTAGTCTCTCAAAGAAAGAAATTGTTATGACACTTTACAACTACAGTGTGTCCTGAGAGGTATTGGTGCCTGTCAACTTTGCAGTTGGTTTTTCTTGAGTCTTTTATTCCCACCTGAAAAATGGCAGGGCAAAATTTTACAGTCTAGATAATTTTTCAGTTTGTTAGGAAATACCTAATGTTCTCCCCAGATCCATCTGTAGAACTCAAAAGGAAAGCATTTCTAAACGAAGTTATAATAATGTCTCCTAATACATTTGGCACATCCAGTTAAGACCAGGCAAGTCTTTAAAAATCAATACCAGCATAAAAAATGTAAAAAAATGTTTTGCATGTTATAAAAGAGATTTTAAAGAAATCTTATATACTTACATGGCAGACAGCTCTGTAGATATATAAGGAACTCTAAATGATTATAAAGATACTTAAAGTTTATCATTATATATCATATATTATGATATTACAGTGATAAGCAATGACCAGTATAGGAGAAAGATGGAATTCTGTAAGTATAGAAGATACTAAACAAATACTCACATCATTATTTTTTCCACCTATATCTTACCGAGAAGTATTGCGATAAATATAAAAAGTTCATTTTATGACATTTTACAATTGACATTTTATGACATTTTACAATTATAACATATTAAGTGTCTGTCTAAAACTATAATATATTAAGTTATTCCCACATTAAGACAACAATGAGAAATCAATTGATTCACATGTGGACTGCAAAAATTGAAAATCTGATCATTTCAATTGTTGCAGCACACATGGTGCACATATTATGTACATTTTTGGTTGGAGTGGAAAACGATGAAATGGTTTTGGTAATTTGTTTTGTGCTATCATTTGAATTTGAATATTCACATTTCCCCCGCCTTAGAATTCTTCTCCTAGGGATATGTCCAAAATAAACTCTCACATTTAGAAGAGAAAATATGTGAAATTTTATTTATAGCAGCCATATTCACAATGTATAAAAGAAAATAAGAAACAGTTTAAATGCTCAATAATGGTTGACTGTCAAGAAAGGATAATATATTCATCTGTGAAATATTACACAACACTGGATTACTTGCAGTTCTTCACACTAAAGGAGCTTGATTTATCTCAGGTGATTTTCACTTTAAGTTCCCTCTACCCAGAATAACCTTCTTCCAGATACTTAGCTGGGTGAATTTCTTACTTCTTTTAGGTATCTTCTCTGTTGTCTCTCCATTGGAGAGCTCAGTCAATTCTAATATTTTAATTATTTGCTCCCATTTTTACTAATTTTCTTTATAGGCACTATCTCTACCTAACCTGCATTTTTGTTTATTTGTCACATGGCTGAGAAAGCTATGCTCCTTTTTTTTTTTTTTTTTGCTATATCTCCAGAACAGAGCATAATTCAAAATATATGAAGTCTTTGGTACATTATCATTAAATAAAATGGTTAATGATTAATAGATGAATGAAATATATTATGTTACTCATTCTATAAAGAAAATTGAATTTTTTCTATTAAGTACATTCAGAAAGGCACAAAGACAAAATATATTTGATGCATGTTAAATAATGTAATATGCAAGGGAATTAGAGGAAAGGAGAAATTAAGGGAAAGTAAAAACACAATAGCATTATTACAGTTCACTTTGTTGGCAAGACAGACAATACCAATGAGATAAAAAACTTAATGAAAAATATAAAATACTATATATAAAAATTTGATGGAATGACTATAATAGAAAAATTGAAGATTGTATTTAAGAAAATTGACTTATTCAAAGGGAATACAGGACGTATGAATAAAAGCAAAACAAAATAACTTGCAATAGTAAGGAAAAATAATAATACATTTTAAGTCATTTTTATTGTATATATTTATTAAGTACAACGTCATGTTTGGATATATGTGTACATTGTGGAATGATGAAATCAAGATAATTAACGAAATAATGGTATTTGGCTGGGTGCAGTGGCTCACGCCTGTAATCCCAGCATTTTAGGAGGCCGAGTTGGGCAGATCACGAAGTCAAGAGATCGAGACCATCCTAGCCAACATGGTGAAACACTGTCTCTACTAAAAACACAAAAAAATTAGCTGGGTATGGTGGCGTGCACCTATAGTGCCAGCTACTTGAGAGGCTGAACCAGGAGAATCGCTTGAACCTGGGAGGTGGAGGTTGTAGTGAGCCGAGATTGCACCACTGCACTCCAGCCTGAGTGACAGAGCTAGACTCCATCTCAAATAATAATAATAATAATAATAATAATAATAATAATACTCTTTCTTTAAAGTGATAAGTAATATTGTTTGTACGATAACTATAAAATTCAAATATAATAAAGAATTGGTTAGTACTTACATTATATGTAATAAAATGATTGATTTTATAAAGTATAAATACTTTCAATGAGCCAATTTAAAAACTGTAACAAAATGTCAAATACACATACAATGCAAAGAAAGCAGCAAAAATGGTCTTACTAACATATAAAAAATTGACATTATTAGTACAATTGCATATGAAACAAAATTTTTTAAAAATATTATGAGAATGGTAAAAATCTCAATTTTTTTGTGTTTCAAGTTAGGGGTTCTTATACACTCTTGGAAAGAGGATAAACTGATAGGTAACACCCACATTTTTTAAGGAAGTAACACATCAAAAAGCAGGTTGAAAGAAAAATATAAGGGTAGAGTTTGCAGATAATAAAAATGAGAAGATATATTGAAACTTTACATTTTAATATTTGAAAACAAGCATTTTAAAACATTTCTAGAATAACATAATATCCAATGTACATTGAAAAATTTTAAAAATCAGTGTGAAAGAAAACAACCCAAAAATCTCTATAAAGAATATACCATGTTCATGTTAGTTTTATGAGAAATTTTTGAGCATTTAAAAGGTGATAAATTCTACCCATGTCACTACACAGTTTTTTCAAATATTTGATTTTGTAAAACATAAAACAGAGAGAGATATATGCCCTTAAATATTTAATGATTTTATAAGTCAATTTTTTAAAAATTCTAGAGTAGATATTTTAATTGACCAACCTTCCTAACCTCTGCCTTCCAAACTATAGTGTAGTTGTAAATTAGCATGTTAGGAAGATAATGACTATAAATGAGAAATTCTTTCACATTAAATAGTTTAAAATAAATTTATAAAATTATATATTTTGTATTTTATATGATTTTTAAAATTCTATGTTCTTGAGATATGGCTGACTTTTTAATCTACTTTTTTATAAAAAATAAAATTAAATGCAAAATTTCACATCACTTATTACTGATCATTATTTTATTTACAAAACAAATTTTTCTTAAACTTACTTTAAAACACTAAGTGATACACTTTCCTAGTATAGTTTTAAATACATTTAAGATTACTACAATGTATCTATAGCCACTCAATGCTTCCCAATATATATAACTTGTTCAATTTTAATTGTACAAAAATTAGTTTTAAATGAACAAAGCAGAGTTATCAATATAAGAATATTTACTTTCTGACTTTTTATTCCAGAAATACATCAAGGTAAATGTACATTAAAATTGGCTTTTATGATGACAGATGTCACATATGTTAGCTCTACTTTTGTGCCACCTAAAAGAATGGACCTATCCATATAATACTAGCAACTCAGCTGACTAAATACAGCTTTTCTATTAGAATTCCTGGGTCCACTTTCTGCCCTGCCCTTTGCTCTCTCTCCTTGACATGAATTGTATCTACAGCACATGAAATATTGGCATGCTTCCCATGTTTGATCCTTGACTTATCCATTGCTGTACGGAAATTAGGTTTCCAGACTATATTCCCAAGGGTCATATCTGGGCAGGAAAGAACAAATGGGGAACAACTTCTTTTTAATGAAACTCTAATACCAAACTACTCTGAAAACAGAGTCATCCTGTGAAAGAGAAATGATTCAAACAGCAGGAAAAATTAAACCTAATCAAACACCTGAAATCTTACCTGAGGCTTCAATGATCAGAGATGTGACCAGGTCTTGTGTAAGACATTTACATCTTTATCAATTTGTTTCTTTATTGATTAGTTTTTCTTTATAATCTGAAATGTACACTTTTTAAAAAATAATCTAAATTTCTCAAGTATCCAACCATAGACTTTTAAGTATTTCCTAAATGACATTTTACTAACCACTGTATTTATAATACTGCCCTAATCCTAACCTATGCAAACTCATGTTTGTTAAAATACACACATAAATACATGCACAAAAATACATACATACACTCACACTGTTTTTCAATATAGCTAAATTATACTTATTCTTAAAATCCCAGGGAAAATTGCTTTTCTGCAGTTCTTTTAAAATTCATATTTCTAGCCCTTAACTCTGAATTACTTTTTTCCTCATTTTACATAGTCTACTACAATTGAATGCCTTTTTTTCTCCACTTCATTGTGATTTTTTTTTTAATTCTCAATGTTTAAGAAATGGTCACTCAATATACAATTTTAAAAATATGCACATTGAGCATCAGTTTAAACATAATGTGTGAATTTGAATACACACCCCATTACTTACTAACGGAATATACCCTGGGAGGTAAGTCTGTGCCATTGTTTCCTCATTTGTAAAAGGGTATAGTAAACGGAACTGCTCCCTGGGATTGTCATGAAGATTAATACAGATTAAGATTAAGAGCAAAGTACAGCAAAAATGTCATATATTAATATTAACTTAGCATTGTTAAGTTATTGATAAGCCTTGTTAAGATTCTTCTCTTTGGTGAATTAGTCTAAAGCCCACGTTTTGTCCCGTTTGATTTTTTATGCCATCCTCGGGAAGTCATGGAGAAGCAGGAGTTATGCCTTTTCACATTCAAACCCCTACATGATTTGAATCTGTCCCACAAAAAGCATGTTGAATACATAATTTCCAACGTAACAGTGTTGGGAGGTGGGTCCTAATGGGTGTTGTTAGGTCATGAGGGTGCCACTCTCATGAAGGAATTAATTATAAAAGGGTTTGAGGTGGTAAGTTCAATCTCTTGCTCTCTTTTGCCATATGATTCTTTCCACCAGGTATGATGCAGCAAGGAAGCCCTCAACAAATGTGGCCACTCAATCTTGGACTTCCCAGCCTTCAGAACGCTAATAAATAAGCGTCTTCCCATTATAAATGACCCATCCTGGTGTATGTTTTTATAGCAGCACAAAATGGACTAAGACATCCCTGAAACTGTCAGCTTTTTTAGGGCTCCACTGCACACATGTTTTCAAACCTGCCAAGTCACATCCTAGCTACAGATTACCAGGCTATTCATCTTACTTTATCCTTAGGTCGTGTTATTGCTCTAAATACAGACTTGATTTTAGAGGAAGGCATCAAAATCTCCTGGGAGTCACATAAATTTGAAAACACCTTTCTTCTCTCCTCTCTTTAAACTTTCATGTTTACTGCTTAAGTTTTTTTCTACCATTTGTTTTCTAAAACTCACAGGTTTGTTTTCTAAAATGCCACTGGGTGCCTGCTTTGTCCTCTACTTGAGACTCAAAGGTCACTGATACAGACTCAAAGGCAACAAGCCATGGCAGACCACATCACTCTATGATAATGATATTGTCCTTCAGAAAAATAAAATATGCCACTAATAGAAATATTGTCCTCTCTCTCATTTATCTGAGAGTCTGTTGTCCTGTTCTCTGATTTATTCCTTGTCATTTTCTTGAATTCCAGACTTAGTACACTAAGCTAAGATTTGCTTATAAAATATTAGATTCAAAGTTCATAAATGTTGAAGAACTTTTAATTTAAAAAAACATAAGAAAAAGTTACTTTAATTTTGAATCCCCTACAAAGGTTATTGTTTAAAAGAGTTTTTCCTCTTTATCATTAGCAATTTTTAGACCTGGACATTATATTCCACTAAAAGCTAGACTTGGTAGGCTGAACTGAAAAATATCCCACATCACTTTGCTATGAGGACTAATGTTTATAAATGAATCCATTATCAATCAGAATCTAATGGTTTTTATTACATAATAAGACTAACAAAAACACATACAATATTTACTAATGCAAGACACTGTTTTAGCTTACATTTATCATTTTTAGATTTCTTTACAGTAAAATTATGAGGCAAGTATTTTTATCCCATTTTTCTAAAGAGGAAACTTTCCAGTGACCGATTAATAACTTCCTCATTAACACAGCTGAGCAAGCACATGGCAGAATCAGGACTTCAACCTGTGCAGTTTAACTTGAGGCTCTGCACAGTTTTTTTCTATACTCTATTACTTGACTTGTATTTCCTGATTTTCTTTAAACAAGATTAAATATAATATCTAAAACATAATAGAGACAATTGAAAGCCAACTGAAACAAAAAATCTAGAAATTTTTTCAATATTAAATAGCTTCACTATATTAAATGTTAATATTTATACAAATCAGTAAAATGAGTTCTTAGTTCTCTTTTTATTTTCTCATATAAAATCCAAATGCATTGACTATGATTTTAAAATCCATATGATTAGTATTAAATTCTTGTGTATACACTTGAAGATAATTTACTTTTTTATATAATATGCTCAAAATTATTTTTTACAAACAAAAAATTAATTAATTTCTGTTTGATTTTCTGGTGCACTTATTTATACTTTAGATAAAAATTAAAAGCAGAAGAAATTTGTTGCAAAATGAAAAATATGCTTAGTACTTTCTAGTTCAATGAAATTCTAAAGAATTATTATACATTACTTGGTTACTGATAAAAAAATCAAATATTGAATAATACATGCAGTATGAACTTCATTGTTATGCAGCAATGTGGATAAGCTTCAAGATTTCATTAAAAACACTCAGCGTTTAAAGGAGAGAACTTTAAACAAGAACTTTAAACAAGAAGAATATATATATGTAACATATTATATATATAATGTTACATTATATATAATGTAACTATATATAATAAATATATATAATGTTACATTATATATTTATTATATATAGTTACATTATATATATTTATTATATATATAATGTTACATTATATATATTTATTATATATATAATGTTACATTATATATATTTATTATATATAATGTTACATTATATATATTATTATATATAATATATATTATATATTTATATATAATAAATTTATATATAAATATATTATATATAAATATATAATGAATTTATATATCAATATATATTATATATTGATATATAATAAATATATATAATGTAACATTATATGTATATAAAATGTTACATTATATATAACATTTTATATATATGCCAGAGGAGTTATAACATTATATATAATATTATATATATGCCAGAGGAGTTATAAGAAACTACCTGGAGAATGTTTCATATGAACTCAATTTTGAAAGAATATTAGGGTTAAAAAAACCTGAAGTTTATAACCGGGACATAGATTAACTGGAATGCAAGACAGAAGTGATCCTAAACTGATGTACAAAATAAAGAGACAAGTCAGACTCAAGTGGAGGAATCCTTCTGGAAGCAGTGAAACAAATTCCGGGTGAGTTGAAGAGGATCAAATAATGGAAAACTTTGATGTTCTTGCAGAAGAGTTAACATAGAAGAAAAAGGATATCAGAATATGCTACTCCAAAGTATATCCCTTTGGCATATGGACTATTTTGAACTAAAGACCACCGACAAACAGCAGACACAGAAAAAGCTCTTTTCCTTCCCCTAACTGCCTAAAAATAGAATATAAATTTTCTGCTTTGTAAAATAAATTTACATTTATAAAGAAAAATTATATTTTTGGAAGTGTCTGTGTAACAGAAAGAGCTATTCCTAGAGGTAACTGTTGTCACTCAACAGACTTATCTACATAAAACAACCATTATTTTCTATTCATTTCCTCCCTTCCTCTTAGGACCTTGCCCTCTCCTCTGTGCAGAAGCCCCAAGCCCCTTTTCCTATGTTTAGCCAAAGCTGTTATGCTATTCTCAATTATCTTGTTTTTCCTGGTGCTAAATTTTTCTTTGTAACTCCTATACATTCTTACATAATTAAAACTTTTTGTTTATTAATCTGTCTTTTGCTGGTTTGATTCTCAGACCAAAGCCATTGAAACTAGAAAAGTTAGAGAAAAAAGAAAACATTCTCTTACACTACAGAGACAACAAGATGGTGTTGCCAAAGAAAGTTGTATAGTTTTTTACAACTGTGATTTGTAGTAATCTGATACAGGTTCAAATCACAGGTCTGTCACATATTAATTGAATAATTTTGGATGATTTATCTAACCACACCGTAAGTCACAGAGAGAATAATACTAATGTTAGGTTAGATCTTTCATCTCCTTAAATACAAGAGTTTTATATATTTGTTTGTTTGTTTTTGCTAAGAATTTTTGCTGTTGTTTTACATCATGAAAAATAGAATTCAAAATAATTGAAAGCAATGTAGATAAGAAAAAAAAAGACTTTTTAAAGATGTTATACATCTAACCACTGAGAAAAAAAGCTGTTCATCATTTTTTTCCTCTGAGTATTTTTTGTGGACATTTTTATATCCCCACACAAACATGTAGAGGAACATTTATAATTCAAACAGTCACTAGGGCAATTATTGAAAGAGTGAGAGTTCACTAAGTGTATATATGAGGTGTGCATATGTTTATGGTTATACATGTGTATATAGTTGGCCAAAAATATAGCATAAATTACCAAGGAAACCAGAAGCAGACTTGATTCTAGATATATAAATGCTATTTACATTTATAAAAATATCTAGAGCAACTTTAGTTTTTGCAGGATGTTGGGTTAGTGAGATTTATTTAAATTTTATTTAGACTTTGAGTTGAAGGTCACTCTTGTGTTCACATTTGGAATTCCTGGTTGCAGAGTGTGTATCTGTGTGTGTCACTTTATGGACTCACATTTTTTTTTACATGAAGTATTGTAATTTTAATATTTTTAAATATTTTATATTACATGTTGGTGCTATATCTTTATGATAAAATAATTTAAAATTACAAACTATCATCTACTGGGCGTCTTCTAAAATATTGACTGACACTTCTAAGGTATTCATTATTTCAAATTATCTGCACAAAATTTCGCAGGTTGCAAATGGTACTTTTTAAATAATACAGATAAAGGTAATGAAGCTAAAAAAGATTTGTACTTGCCTTAGATAATATAGATAGTAATGTAGAGGGTAACATACTTCTAAAGCTATGAGTGCAAAGTTTCTTTGATCATACATCTATATTATTATGAAGAAAGCTAAAAATTACATTAAACATGCAAAGCATTTGATATAAAATTAATATTATATATATTATTATGTAAAAATATAAGTTATTGTATTGCTGGAATATATATTCTTTAGAATGATATGAATGATATACGAACAACCACTTTTTAAGAGAGGCCATATAAGTGAGCAACAAACATAAAAATTGTTCCATATCACTAATCATCAGAGAAATGCAAATCAAAGGCACAGTGAGATACCATCTCATGTCAGTCAGAAACACTATGTATCATTAATAAGTCAAAAAACTACCAATGCTGGCAAGGCAGCAAAGAAAAGAGAATGCTTATACTCTGTTGGTGGTAATGTAAATTAGTTCAGCCACTGTGGAAAGCGGTTTAGAGATGTCTCAAAGATCTTAAAACAGAACCACCATTTGACTGAGCAAACTCGTTACTGAGTATAAATTCAAAATAAAGTGAATTGTTTTACCGTATAGACATGTGCACTTGCATGTTCATCACAGCACTATTCACAATAACAATAACATAAATAACAAAACAGTGAATAACATAAATAACAAAACAAAAACATAAATAACAAAAACAGTGAACTGGGTAAAGAAAATGTTGTACATATATACCATGCAATACTATACTCCCATAAAAAGAACAAACTCTTATCTTTTGCTCAGTACCTGGGTAAAGGGATCATTTGTACCATAAACCTCATTATTGCACAACATAGCCAGGCAACATGCTTGCATATGTACACCTGAATCTAAAATAAAAGTTGAAAAAATGAAAATGAAATAAAAGATTTAATTGAACATGGAGTTTAGAATAAAAACTACGTACATTGAAATGTTTTATAGAAAGAAATTAAAATAATGTTTTGCTAAAAATTTTAAAGTAAATTACACTAAAATGAAAAATTATTTCACCCTCTGTGGTTGTCTCTCCAAGTTGGTAACTGAATGTTCATTTTGAAAGATGTTACATTTTCTGATTCCCAACATGAAATTGACAGTGTCATAGGTATAACTAATGAGTTTCTGCCTATCGTAACTCCAATATACATAGCTGAAATAATAAAATATAATCACTATTTCTTTTCAGAAAGAGTTTCAGAAATTATTCAGGTCTGCATATGCATTTTAACAACTAGCATTTATGTGAGTGCATGTAAACATATCTGTCATATAAGAAAATGTGTCAAAAAGTTTAGATTTTTCAAATATATAGTTTTTAGTGGTATTAATCTGTGTAATTACTAATATATGTAGAATATGTCTAAAGATAAACTTCTACTCAACTCTATGGCTATGGTATTAATGGCATTTTGAAATATGTTTTTATTTCTTCTATTTCCTTCTTCTTTTTTTTGGCAATCTAACCATTTTGATACAAAACACAAAAGCACATTACAAAAAATATCAATTGCAGTGTAGCCTATAGCCAAGAGTGTCTAAAAAGAAAAAAAAAACCCAAACTGTGCAATTTCTTGTAAAACTCTGCCAAAATAAATCTTTCTGAATATTTGTTGTTGTTGTTAAACATGACTTCAGGGAGAGGAAGCTCTCATTTGTGTGCCAGTAG
This sequence comes from Homo sapiens, assembly GCF_000001405.40. Lineage (NCBI taxonomy): Eukaryota > Metazoa > Chordata > Mammalia > Primates > Hominidae > Homo > Homo sapiens. Next base: position 82,543,148 of record NC_000013.11, on the reverse strand, counting down.
CTGACAATGTGAGAGGTTAACACTACACACTCTCTTGCAAATGCATTGTGATTTTCTGTGAACTAATGACTGCTCCTTGCCTCATAGCTTTTCTTTCTCTTTTTTTTTAAATCAATATTATCAAAATAAACTCAGTCTTATGGCCTTAGGGGATTTACTTTACTTATAACCAAGTGAAATCTTCGTGTGTTCATTTTTATTACCAGGTTTTGTGAAAGATTGACATGGAGACTTTATCAAGCTGAAACATTCCCCCGGCTCCCTCCTCTCTCTCTTTCTCTTTCTCTCTCTCTCTGTCTCTCTCTCTCTCTCTCTCTCCCCCTCCCTCTCCCTCCCTCTCTCCTTCTCCCTCCACCCAAATTTTTTCTCTATTTTTTAAACATTTTTATTTTATAGTTTTTCTAATGTGTTTTAGACACAAGGGCCCAATTCTTTAAAAAGATTAGTTCAAGGCATACAGGCCTTGTAGGCAAAGGCATGTAGGCCTGGATCTTTAGAAGCTAAGGATGCTTTTCTACAGGCGTGGAAGAAGTAGAACCTTCCCTGCTTTTTGAACATTCCTGCCCTTTGTATAAGCTGTCAATATTCCTGTATATTCTTCTAAAAGCACAGCCTAGAACAGACCTCAGCCTGTCATAGAGACTATAAATTCATGAACTGAGACTAATCATAACTCTATTCATCCAGCACATAACACCACAACAAAACAAGAAAGGTAATATTTAACAGTTCAAAAATACTTTAACACCAGATCAGGGTTGAAACAATGTTTCATATTGCATGTGGAATTAAAAAAGTGGCAAATATTTTATATTTGAAGCTACTTTAGGGATAAGATGCGTTTAAAACTTCCAATACACAAAAATTATTTTCATGAGAAATATAGATAATTATTTATTACAGTTCACAACACAAACTATTAGGAAACTTAATAAAAACAAAATTATAGGTGGGTAGTTTATAGAAATGAAAGAAAGCAGACAAGAGCATGAACCAGGGCAGCGCCTGTGATTTCAGATAGTAACTCAAGGTTTATCAGTTTTTGGTTCTGATAGCAGAAGCACACACAAATACACACAGAAAAATTATACACAAAATTATAGTACCAATTATTTTCTCTACATAGAATATTTGATTGAATATTTAATTCCCAGGAGAAATATTAATCTAGCTTGAATTAAAATCTATTACCTATCACTATGATTAATAGTCGCATCAGAAACAGAGTAAATGAAAGTGAGTGTTAAATCCACAAGAGAAATGTGAAGAGCTATTATCATAACAAGGGGTAAGATTTTCTCACAAGCAAGACCAACAGATATGTATGTTCTACTCATGATGTGCCTGCTGTCACATAGGTACACTCTTACATTCCTAGAATTTTATAATATATCCCCTAAACATAATATATTTTATTATGATATGTAATCTAAACATAAGTACAACATAAATAGAAAACATAAAGTTATAGGTAAGAATTTTTAGAAAATAATGTATGTAGATATAAACTAATTTAGTTATGGAGCAAATGCTTGGGTAAAAGTGTAATCATAATAGGTGAGATTAGACATGATTAACTTGGAACATGTAGGAGAACAAATGGTTTTAAAATTACATTTGATTTCTTAAATATTTTGTATTCAATTATTTAATTGGGTTGAAAAAGTCAAAAGGAATCATTAAACTATAATGTAAAATCTGTTTTTGTATTTAGAAAAAATATATTCTATTCATGCTTTATCCACTTAATAACTATATTCCTACGGAAAATTTAAATTATCTAAATTTCTGTCTCCCAAGAAATAACAGAGAAATAAAATAAACCTATGTTACAATCTTTTCCTAAAACGAAAAAAAGTTTATATATGATGAGATATAAATGACGAATCGATGCAAAAATGGCATTATGTTAAAAATTGAAAGCAATAATCAATATTGGAAGATGAAAATTTAGTTCATTATTGAGTTGGTAAACATAGTCATGGAATTAAGAGTTGGAGTTGAAATTTTGGTTATGAAGCTCTCTGCTTATCAAATAGTATCAGCATAACACCCCCCTTTTAACATTACAAAATGCTAACAGGCACATATATTTTAAAATCTCCATATAATGTGTTTTTTTTTGCTTTGTTTCTTGATTTAATTATTTTGGACATAATATGATCATAATAAACATTTTAAATTAATTTAATATTTTGAACATCTCTGTTGATCCGGAAATAACTTGGATTGTTTAAGCATCTACCATATGCAAGATATATTTCTCGATACAGAAACACAATTTTGAACTTTAAAACAGACAGGAGAACCTTGTCCTCTTGAGGTATCATTCTATCGAAAAGGAAAACAGGAATAATAAATAATAATGGTAAATATAATAAATCATAACAAATATTTTAAAACTATAAATAATATAAAATTGCAGAGGTCAAACAATGAGATGTTCTGAGGGAAATTGTTGCAGTTTTAAATAGGGTGTTCATGATTGCTCTTATCGAGGAAATGATAGTTGATCAAAGACGGAGAGGAATTGAATTAGCGGTATGGATATCTAGATGAAGGATGTGTGTGGCAGCGATAAAGCAGAAACTTTGAAACCATAACACGCACTGGTAAACAATAGAAAACAGATTCAGAATTCACGTTGTTTGATTTGCTGGCTATGTAGAGAAGAACAGGCTAAATTGAAGTAACAAAAAGAATATCCAATAAACAAGATTATTCTATTTAATTTTTTTATAAAGAAAAAATCATTTTGTGCTTGATAAGTCTGGGTGATGACTTACCAGAGAGAAAGAGAGGAATTTTCTAGTTCTGTGGCATGCCACTACCTTTTTGGACTATCTCAAATGCCTTGATTTGATGCAGGTTTTAAACTAATTCATAAATATATTATTTTATTAAATATGCATGGAGATAAATCCACTACAATATTCCAATGTATTACAAATATAGTTTCCAATTTAAAAATGCATACTAAAGCTAGCAAAAATGAGAACTATTTTTATGAGCCTCTAATAAAAAATTTAAAAGCTGGAAACCCTATTTCACCAAGTATTCTTCCATTGTTTTTGTTTTCTTTTATAAGCAAACTTCTAGAATGTTTCAAATAAAATTTTGGCAAAACAAATGTTGAATAAAGTGTTTTAATATTATAATAAAGGATTACTCTAATAAGCAAGATATATGTATGTATTTTCAAAATTGACAGATCTATCATTTGTTTTACTTTTGTGGCTACGTCAAATCCTGAGTCTTTTATTTCCCACTCAATACTGAAATAGGGAATAAACAAGTTTTGTCATATTTTTTAATTCAACCTTTTCCCATGTGTCAGGATCACTTTAGAAAAATATGAATTTTCACAATAATACCTAAAGAACACATTTTATTTTTTCTTACCAAGTGTAGCGACGCCAATTATTATAAAGTGAAGATATTAAACAAAATGCACACTGCTTGATAAATCATAGTAAAATTGGTTCAATATTATTGCAAAAATACTATTTTAGACATTTTTTTAAAAAACCTTTCCACAAAAACATTTTTAAAAATATATATTTTCCTATTAAGATGTACATAAATTCCTTGACGGTCATTCCATATCATCCATAGGATAATGTCATATAGAGCTTCTGTACCTGACTTTCTAATATTGATCCCAAATAAATACATTAAAAACGCAAGTGTAAAAGAAAGCTTAAGATCTGTTTTATCTTCCAAATAAAAAGGTTTACATTTCTAGGCTTTGTTGTTAGCATTTTAATTACAAAAGAGGTCTTTGGCCAGACGCGGTGGCTCACTCCTGTAATCCCAGCACTTTGGGAGACTGAGGCGGGTGGATCACGAGGTCAGGAGTTCAAGACCAACCCGGCCAAGATGGTGAAAGCCCATCTCTACTAAAAATACAAAAATTAGCCGGTCGGGGTGGTGGGCACCTGTAATCCCAGCTACGCGGGAGGCTGGGGCAGAGAATTGTTTGAACCTGGCAGGCTGAGGTTGCAAGGAGCCAAGATCTCGCCACTGCACACCAGCCTGGGGGATAGAGGGAGACTTCGTCTAAAAAAAAAAAAAGTCTTTCAAACTTCCAACCAATATATAAATTGTTCTATATTAAAATTAGTCAAAGAATGAGATATAGATTTATATATCATGGTTAGATGTCAAAATTATAATTACTTGCTTTATGTACATTTATAGAGATACCATATAAGGCAATACATTGCTTTGTATAAGAATCTTAACGTATATACCCAGTAATGGGATGGATGGGTCAAATGGTATTTCTAGTTCTAGATCCCTGAGGAATCGCCACACTGACTTCCACAATGGTTGAACTAGTTTACAGTCCCACCAACAGTGTAAAAGTGTTCCTGTTTCTCCACGTCCTCTCCAGCACCTGTTGTTTCCTGACTTTTTAATGATTGCCATTCTAACTGGTGTGAGATGGTATCTCATAGTGGTTTTGATTTGCATTTCTCTGATGGCCAGTGATGATGAGCATTTTTTCATGTGTTTTTTGGCTGCATAAATGTCTTCTTTTGAGAAGTGTCTGTTCATGTCCTTCGCCCACTTTTTGATGGGGTTGTTTGTTTTTTTCTTGTAAATTTGTTTGAGTTCATTGTAGATTCTGGATATTAGCCCTTTGTCAGATGAGTAGGTTGCAAAAATTTTCTCCCATTTTGTAGGTTGCCTGTTCACTCTGATGGTAGTTTCTTTTGCTGTGCAGAAGCTCTTTATTTTAATTAGATCCCATTTGTCAATTTTTTCTTTTGTTGCCATTGCTTTTGGTGTTTTGGACATGAAGTCCTTGCCCATGCCTATGTCCTGAAAGGTAATGCCTAGGTTTTCTTCTAGGGTTTTTATGGTTTTAGGTCTAACGTTTAAATCTTTAATCCATCTTGAATTGATTTTTGTATAAGGTGTAAGGAAGAGATCCAGTTTCAGCTTTCTACATATGGCTAGCCAGTTTTCCCAGCACCATTTATTAAATAGGGAATCCTGGCCGGGCGCGGTGGCTCACGCCTGTAATCCCAGCACTTTGGGAGGCCAAGGCGGGTGGATCATGAGGTCAGGAGATCGAGACCATCCTGGCTAACAAGGTGAAACCCCGTCTCTACTAAAAAAAAATACAAAAAATTAGCCGGGCGCAGTGGCGGGCTCCTGTAGTCCCAGCTACTCGGGAGGCTGAGGCAGGAGAATGGCTTGAACCCGGGAAGCGGAGCTTGCAGTGAGCCGAGATTGCGCCACTGCAGTCCGCAGTCCGGCCTGGGCGACAGAGCGAGACTCCATCTCAAAAAAAAAAAAAAAATAGGGAATCCTTTCCCCATTGCTTGTTTTTCTCAGGTTTGTCAAAGATCAGATAGTTGTAGGTATGCGGTGTTATTTCTGAGGGCTCTGTTCTGTTCCATTGATCTATATCTCTGTTTTGGTACCAGTACCATGCTGTTTTGGTTACTGTAGCCTTGTAGTATAGTTTGAAGTAAGGTAGTGTGATGCCTCCAGCTTTGTTCTTTTGGCTTAGGATTGACTTGGCGATGCGGGCTCTTTTTTGGTTCCATATGAACTTTAAAGTAGTTTTTTCCAATTCTGTGAAGAAAGTCATTGGTAGCTTGATGGGGATGGCATTGAATCTGTAAATTACCTTGGGCAGTATGCCCATTTTCACAATATTGATTCTTCCTACCCATGAGCATGGAATGTTCTTCCATTTGTTTGTGTACCCAAATGACTATAAATCATGCTGCTATAAAGACACATGCACACGTATGTTTATTGCGGCATTATTCACAATAGCAAAGACTTGGAACCAACCCAAATGCCCAACAATGATAGACTGGATTAAGAAAATGTGGCACATATACACCATGGAATACTATGCAGCCATAAAAAATGATGAGTTCACGTCCTTTGTAGGGACATGGATGAAATTGGAAATCATCATTCTCAGTAAACTATCGCAAGAACAAAAAACCAAACACCGCATATTCTCACTCATAGGTGGGAATTGAACAATGCGATCACATGGACACAGGAAGGGGAATATCACACTCTGGGGACTGTTGTGGGGTGGGGGGAGTGGGGAGGGATAGCATTGGGAGATATACCTAATGCTAGATGACGAGTTAGTGGGTGCAGCGCACCAGCACGGCACATGTATACATATGTAACTAACCTGCACAATGTGCACAGGTACCCTAAAACTTAAAGTATAATTAAAAAAAAAAAAGAAATTTAAAAACTGACCAATAAAAAATCTTACAACTAAAAAAAAAAAAAAGAAAGAAAGAAAAAGAATCTTAACGTAAAGATTGCTTGTTGAAAGACATAAGGTAATCGTATCAAATGGTAATTATTCAGGGAAAAATGATTAGTTCTGGGCTGTAGGCTTTACATATGGGACTTTTATTATATTGCAGCAATTTGGTTTTTTTTAAGTGTTTTCATAATAAAGAGTTGCTGACTTTTGAGAAACACTTTCTATGCATTAGTTAAAATAATCATGTGATTTTTGCCCTTCAGTAATTTTCTATTACTGTGACTTGTTACATTGATTGATTTTCACAAATTAAATAATGATTTTTTCTAGAAAAAAAATCCTATTGGTTAATGGTATAAAATATATTTAATGTGTTGTTAAATTTGCTTTGCTGGTCCTTTTTTTTTTTTTTTGGAGATGGAGATTCACTCTCGTTGCCCAGGCTGGAGTGCAGTGGTGGGATCCCAGCTCACTGAAACCTCCACCTCCCTGGTTCAGGTGATTCTCCTGCCTCAGCCTCCCGAGTAGCTAGGATTACAGACATGCACCACCACACCCAGCTAATTTTGTACTTCTAGTAAAGATGGGGTTTCACCATATTAGCCAGGCTGGTTTTGAACTCTTGACCTCAGGTGACCCACCCGCCTTAGCCTCCCAAACTTCTGGAATTACAGGTGTGAGCCACCACACCCGGCCTTTTGCTAGTATTTTATTGTGGATTTTTTGCATCAATATTCATCAAGGGCATTGGTCATCATTTTCTTTTCTTATAGTACATTTGTCTGACTTTGGTATCAGGGGAATCCTGGCATCATAAAATCAGTTTGAAAGAACCTTCCTCTAAATTTTTTTGGAAGAATTTGATTAGGATTGGCATCAATTCTTCTTTAAATTTTTTAAAAATATTTGTTGTAATCATATATATATATATATATATATTGTAGAGATGGCCTCACTATGTTGCCAAGCTACTGTCCTCAAGGTATCCTGCCCAGTTGGCCTCCCAAAGTGCTGGGATTACAGGTGTGAGCTACTTTGCCCAACTCTTTAAATGGTTGGTAGAATTATCCAATGGAGGCTGTTGGCTTTGGGATTTTTTTCTGTGGTGGGATTTTTAATTACTGACTCAATCTCCCACTAGTTAGAGATGTGTTAAGGTTTTCTGTTTCTTCATGATACAATCTTTGTAGGTTCTATGTTTCTCGGAATTTATTCATTTCTTTTAGATTATCCAATTTTTTGACATATAATTATGTATATTAGTTTATCTCTTTTATTTCTGTAACATCAGTTGTTATCTCTCCTCTTTTATTTCTGATTTCTATCTGCTTCTTCTCTTTCTTCCTTAGACTTCCTAAGAGTTTGTCAAATTTGTTGATCTTAAGGTTTCTTCATTTTTTTCTATTGTTTTTCTACTCCCCATTTGGTTTATTTCTGTTCTAATCTCTATTTCTTTCTTCTACTGACTTTGGGTTAGTTTGTTCTTCTTATTATAGTTGTTTGAGGTGTAAAGTCAGGTCGTTTATTGGTGATATTTCCACTATTTAATGTAGGCATTTACTGCTATAAACTTGTCTTGTAGTACTGTTTCTGCTACATCTTATAAGTTTGATATGTTTCCTTTCCATTTTCATTTTTCTAAAATATTTTCTAATATTTTTAGTTTTCTTCTTTAACCCAATAGTTTTTCAGAAGCTTATTAATTTCTACATATTTGGAATTTTTAAATTGTTTTCATTTGTTATTAATTTCTAGTTCTATTCCATTGCAGTTAGAAAACATACTTAATATAATTTCAGTATTCTTAAATTTGTTAAGACTTGTTTTGTGGCTTAATATGTTATATATTCTGCATAATGTTCATGTGTACTTTAAAAGAATGTTTATTTTGCTATTGTTCAGTTGAGTATTTTGTGTATATCTGTCAGTCCTAATGGCTTTCAGGGTTGTTCAAGCCTTCTTTTCCTTATTGACCTATGTCTGGTTGGTCTATGCATTATTGAAAGTGGAATATTGAAATATTCTACTATTATTGTGTTATGTATTTATTCCTTTAATTCTGTCAATGTTTGCTTTACATATTAAA